>NC_000002.12:91770328-91954236 GCF_000001405.40 Homo sapiens | reverse complement strand
GGCTAGCATAGGTTCAGTACTCCTAAGACTTTATCAGGCTTCAAAGTATATATATTCTCTAATTTGAGCATACAGAAGTCTATATATTTCCTTTAAATTAAGCTTTTTTAATACAGTGGTTAAAATCTGAGATAATCTTACTACATTTTGATTATCATTGACTCAGAGGTTTAAGTTTCTTCAAGGTTGAGGATTTAGCCTTTTTTCTTTGTAATTCTGCAACTTGTGCTTCATATATTTTATGGTTGAATTGTTACATGTCTACATGTCTTTACAAATGACTTTTATTCCTCAGAATGTTTTTTGTCTTAAATTATAGTTTTTGATATGAAAATAGCTATATCAGCCATATATTGGTTAATATTTGTTTTATTTATCATTTACTCATCTCATACCTTCAGAATTTTGTGTCGTCATGTTTTTAACTATTACGGGTTATACCTGGATTTTCACGTTTTTATCCAGTCTTCAAGTGTCTGTCTTTAGCTAATTTAGACCATTTAAGTTTGTTGTGGTTATGGATAAATTTATATTTACTTCTGTCATCATATTTTGTGCTTTCTGTTAACCATATTATTTCTCCAATTCTTTTCCCCAATGCATTCTATTAGATTGATCAAGGTTTTTCCCCTCTATTTGTTTAAATGTTGTATGTTCTAATTCTATTCTATTCACGATTACCCTTGAAATGTAATATGTGTACTTGAATTGACAAGTAATGTAAAAAACTAACTGTAAAATTAAAATCACTAGTTTTGTCTTGAAGGATGCATTAATTTTGATCACCCTCATTCATCCCCAACTTACTGTTTTCCAGTACATTTTTTCCAATTTATATTTTATCAGCTTTTTTGAGGTATAATATACAGAGCACAAAATTTATTTAATTTAAATGCACATTTCGATGAGTTTTGACAAATTTAGAAAGTTGTACAACAATTACAAAAATTCAGTTTTTGAATACTTACATAATCTCAAAAAGTTTCCTCATGCTTATTTTCATTAAATCCTCACTCCCACCTACCTAAGTCCCAAGTAACAAATGATCTGCTTTCTTTATAGATTTGTCTTCCATGAAAAGTTACATAGATTGGCTGGGCACAGTGGCTCACATCTGTAATCCTAGCATTTTGGCAGGCCAAGGCGAGCAGATCACCTGAGCCCAGGAGTTCAAGACTAACGTAGGCAGCATGGTGAAACCCCATATCTACTAAAAACACAAAAATTAGCTGGGCATGGTGGCGCACCAGATAGCTACTCGAAGGCTGAAGTGTGACGGATTACGTTTATTGATTTGCATATATTGAATCAGGCTTGCATCCCAGGGATGAAGCTGACTTGATAGTGGTGGATAAGCTTTTTGATGTGCTGCTGGATTCGGTTTGCCAGTATTTTATTGAGGATTTTTGCATTGATATTGATATTGGTCATCAGGGATATTGGTCTAAAATTCTCTTTTTTGGTTGTGTCTCTGCCAGGCTTTGGTATCAGGATGATGCTGGCCTCATAAAATGTGTTAGGGAGGATTCCCTCTTTTTCTATTCATTGGAATAGTTTCAGAAGGAATGGTACCAGCTCCTCTTTGTACCTCTGGTAGAATTTGGCTGTGAATCCATCTGGTCCTGGACTTTTTTTGGTTGGTAGGCTAATTAATTATTGCCTCAATTTCAGAGCCTGTTATTGGTCTATTCAGGGATTCAACTTCTTCCTGGTTTAGTCTTAGGATGGTGTATTTGTCCAGGAATTTATCCATTTCTTCTAGATTTTCTAGTTTATTTGTGGAGAGGGGTTTGTAGTACTCTCTGATGGTAGTTTGTATTTCCATGGGATCAGTGGTGAAATCCCCTTTATCATTTTTTATTGCATCTATTTGATTCTTCTCTCTTTTCTTCTTTATTAGTCTTGCTAGTGGTCTATCAATTTTGTTGATCTCTTCAAAAAACCAGCTCCTGGGTTCATTGATATTTTGAAGGGTTTTTTGTGTCTCTATCTATCTCCTTCAGTTCTGCTCTGATCTTAGTTATTTATTGCCTTCTGCTAGATTTTGAATTTGTGTGCTCTTGCTTCTCTAGTTCTTTTAATTGTGATGTTAGGGTGTCGATTTTAGATCTTTCCTGTTTTCTCTTGTGGTTATTTAGTGCTATAAATTTCCCTCTACACACTGCTTTAAATGTGTCCCAGAGATTCTGCTTTGTTGTGTCTTTGTTCTCGTTGGTTTCAAAGAACATCTTCATTTCTGCCTTGATTTCGTTATTTACCAAATAGTCATTCAGGAGCAGGTTGTTCAGTTTCCATGTATTTGTGTGGTTTTGAGTGAGTTTCTTAATCCTGAGTTCCAATTTGATGACACTGTGGTCTGGGAGACAGTTTGTTGTGATTTCTGTTCTTTTACATTTGCTGAGGAGTGCTTTACTTCTAACTATGTGGTCAATTTTGGAATAAGTGAGATGAGGTGCTGAGAAGAATGTACATTCTGTTGATTTGGGGTGGAGGCTTCTGTAGATGTCTATTAGGTCTGCTTGTTGCAGAGCTGAGTTCAAGTCCTGGAAATCCTTGTTAACCTTCTGTCTCATTGATCTGTCTAATATTGACAGCGGGGTGTTAAAGTCTCTCATTATTACTGTGTGGTTGTCTAAGTCTCTTTGTAGGTCTCTAAGGACTTGCTTTAAGAATCTGGGTGCTAGTGTATTGGGTGCATGTATAGTTAGGATAGTTAGATCTTCTTGTTGCATTGATCCCTTTACCATTATATAAAGGCCGTCTTTGTCTCTTTGATCTTTGTTGGTTTAAAGTCTGTTTTATCAGAGACTAGGATTGCAACCCCTGCTATTTTTTGCTTTCCATTTGCTTGGTAGATCTTCTTCCATCCCTTCATTTTGAGCCTATGTGTGTCACTGCACGTTAGATGGGTATCCTGAATACAGCACACTGATGGGTCTTGGCTCTTTATCGAGTTTGCCAGTCTGTGTCTTTTAATTGGGGCATTTAGCCCATTTACATTTAAGGTTAATATTGTTATGTGTGAATTTGATCCTGTCATTATGATGTTAGCTGGTTATTTTGCTCATTAGTTGATGCAGTTTCTTCCTAGGATGGATGGTCTTTACAATTTGGCATGTTTTTGTGTTGCTGGTACTGGTTATTCCTTTCCATGTTTAGTGCTTCCTTCAGGAGCTCTTGTAAGGCAGGCCTGCTGGTGACAAAATCTCTCAGCATTTGCTTGTCTATAAAGGAGTTTATTTCTCCTTCACTTATGAAGCTTAGTTTGGCTGGATATGAAATTCTGAGTTGAAAATTCTTTTCTTTAAGAATGTTGAATATTGGCCCCCACCCTCTTCTGGTTTGTAGGGTTTCTGCCAAGAGATCTGCTGTTAGTCTGATTTGATTCTCTTTGTGGCTAACCCAACCTTTCTCTCTGGCTACCCTTAACATTTTTCCTTTCATTTCAACCTTGGTGAGTCTGACAATTATGTGTCTTTGTGTTGCTCTTCTCGAGGAGTATCTTTGTGGTATTTTCTGACCCTAACATCACAATTAAAAGAACTAGAAAAGCAAGAGCAAACACATTAAAAAGCTAGCAGAAGGCAAGAAATAGCTAAGAACAGAGCAGAACTGAAGGAAATAGAGACACAAAAAACCCTTCAAAAAATTAATGAATCCAGGAGCTGGTTTTTTGAAAAGATCAACAAAATTGATAAACCGCTAGCAAGACTAATACAGAAGAAAAGAGAGAAGAATCAAATAGGCACAATAAAAAAATGATAAAGGGGATATCACCACTGATGCCACAGAAATACAATCTACCATCAGAGAATACTACAAACACCTCTACGCAAATAAACTAGAAAATCTAGAAGAAATGGATAAATTTCTCAACACATACACCCTCCCAAGACTAAACCAGGAAGAAGTTGAATCTCTGAATAGATCAATATCAGGCTCTGAAATTGTGGCAATAATCAATAGCTTATCAACCAAAAACAGTCCAGGACCAGATGGATTCACAGCCGAATTCTACCAGAGGTATAAGGAGGAACTGGTACCATTCCTTCTGAAACTATTCCAATGAATAGAAAAAGAGGGAATCCTCCCTAACTCATCTTATGAGGCCAGCATCATCCTGATACCAACGACTGGCAGAGACACAACCAAAAAAGAGAATTTTAGACCAATATCCTTGATGAACATTGATGCAAAAATCCTCAATAAAATACTGGCAAACCGAATCCAGCAGCACATCAAAAACTTATCCACCATGATCAAGTAGGCTTCATCCCTAGGATGCAAAGCTTGTTCAACATATGCAAATCAATAAATGTAATCCAGCATATAAACAGAGCCAAAGACAAAAACCACATGATTATCTCAATAGATGCAGAAAGGGCCTTTGACAAAATTCAACAAGCCTTCATGCTAATAACTCTCAATAAATTAGGTATTGATGGGACGTATGTCAAAATAGTAAGAGCTATCTATGACAAACCCACAGCCAATATCATACTGAATGGGCAAAAACTGGAAGCATTCCCTTTGAAAACTGGCACAAGACAGGGATGCCCTCTCTCACCACTCCTATTCAACATAGTGTTGGAAGTTCTGGCCAGGGCAATTAGGCAGGAGAAGGAAATAAAGGGTATTCGATTAGGAAAAGAGGAAGTCAAATTGTCCCTGTTTACAGATGACATGATTGTATATCTAGAAAAGCCCATTGTCTCAGCCCAAAATCTCCTTAAGCTGATAAGCAACTTCAGCAAAGTCTCAGGATACAAAATCAATGTACAAAAATCACAAGCATTCTTGTACACCAATAACAGACCAACAGAGAGGCAAATCATGGGTGAACCCCCATTCACAATTGCTTCAAAGAGAATACAATACCTAGGAATCCAACTTACAAGGGACGTGAAGCACCTCTTCAAGGAGAACTACAAACCACTGCTCAATGAAATAAAAGAGGATACAAACAAATGGAAGAACATTCCATGCTTATGGGTTGGAAGAATCAATATTGGAAAAAAAATACTTTAAAGTTCATATGGAACCAAAAAGGAGCCCACATCGCCAAGTCAATCCTAAGCCAAAAGAACAAAGCTGGCGTCATCAGGCTACCTGACTTCAAACTATACTACAAGGCTACAGTAACCAAAACAGCATGGTACTGGTACTAAAATGGAGATATAGATCAATGGAACAGAACAGAGCCCTCAGAAATAATGCCACCTATTTACAACTATCTGATCTTTGACAAACCTAAGAAAAACAAGCAATGGGGAAAGATTCCCTATTCAATAAATGGTGCTGGGAAAACTGGCTAGCCATATGTGGAAAGCTGAAACTGGATCCCTTCCTTACACCTTATACAAAAATTAATTCAAGATGGATTAAAGACTTACATGTTAGACCTAAAATTATAAAAACCCTAGAAGAAAACCTAGGCAATACCATTCAGGACATAGACATGGGCAAGGATTTCATGTGTAAACCATTCTCCCCATCACTTTCAAGTACACCAATCAAACTTAGATTTGGTCTTTTCACATAGTCCCATATTTCTTGGAGGCTTTGCTCATTTCTTTTTACTCTTTTTCTCTAAACTTCACTTCTCACTTCATTTCATTCATTTGATCTTCCAACACTGATACCCTTTCTTCCACTTGATTGAATCAGCTACAGAAACTTGTGCATGCATCATGTAGTTCTCATGCCATGGTTTTCAGCTCCATCAGGTCATTTAAGGTCTTCTCTATGCTGTTTATTCTAGTTAGCCATTCATCTAATCTTTGTTCAAGGTTTTCAGCTTCCTTGCAATGGGTTCGAACATCCTTCTTTAGCTCAGAGAAGTTTGTTATTACTGACCTTCTAAAGCCTACTTTTGTCAACTCATCAAAGTCATTCTCCATCCAGCTTTGTTCCATTGCTCGCAAGGAGCTGCAATCCTTTGGAGGAGAAGCGGCGCTCTGGTTTTTTGAATTTTCAGCTTGTCTGCTCTGGTTTCCCCCCATATTTGTGGTTTTATCTACCTTTGGTCTTTAATGATGGTGACCTACAGATGTGGTTTTGGTGTGGATGTCCTTTTTGTTGATGCTGTTCCTTTCTGTTTGCTAGTTTTCCTTCTAACAATCAGGACCCTCAGCTGCAGGTCTGTTGGAGTTTGTTGGAGGTCCACTCCAGACCCTGTTTGCCTGAGTGTCACCAGTGGAGGCTGCAGAACAGCAAATATTGCTGCCTGATCCTTCTTCTGGAAGCTTCATCTCAGAGGGACACCTGGCTGTATGAGGTGTCAGTAAATCCCTACGGGCAGCTCTGTCTATTCTCAGAGTTCAAACTCCATGCTGGAGAATGACTGCTCTCTTCAGAGCTGTCAGACAGGGATGTTTAAGTCTGCAGAAGTTTCTGCTGCCTTTTATTCAGCTATACCCTGCCCCTAGAGGTGGAGTCTACAGAGGCTTCCAGGGCTCCTTGAGCTGCAGTGAGCTCCACCCAGTTCAGGCTTCCCAGCTGCTTTGTTTAACTATTCAAGCCTCAGCAATGGTGGACGTCCCTCCCCCAGCCCAGGCTGCCACCTTGCAGTTCGATCTCGGACTGCTGCACTAGCAGTAAGCAAGGCTGTGTGGGCATGGGACCCGCCAAGCCATGCAAGGGATATAATCTCCTGGTGTGCCGCTTGCTAAGACCATTGGAAAAGCACAGTATTAGGGTGGGAATGTCTGGATTTTCCAGGTGCCGTCTGTCACGGCTTCCCTTGGCTAGGAAAGGGAAATCCCCCGACCACTTGTGCTGCTTCCCAGATGAGGTGACACCCTGCCCTGCTTCGGCTCACCCTCTGTGGGCTGCACCCACTGTCCGACCCGTCTCAGTGTGATGAACTAAGTACCTCAGATGGAAATACAGAAATCACCTGTCTTCTACGTCAATTATGCTGAGAGCTGCAGACAGGAGCTGTTCCTATTCGGCCATCTTGGAAAAATCCTCTCTTTTCATTTATTTAAGAAATATTTGAAAAGCAAAGATTTCATCATTTTGGTGCAGTCCAATTTATCTGTTTTTCTTTTATGGAACATGTTTTTGATATTATATCTAAGAAAACTTTTCTTAGTCCAAGGTCATAAATATTTTCTCCTATTTTTTTTCCTAGAAGTTTTACAGTTTTAGCTCATACAATTAGGTCTATGATCCATTTTAGTTAATTTTCGTATATGACCTAAGGATCTAGGCTTAGTTTTTGTAAATGAATAACCAGTTCCTATAGAATCATTTGTTGAAAGAACATCTTTTTCCTACTGAATTGTCTTAGCATCTTTGATGAAAATTAATTGACTATTTATGTGGTTGGATTCTGAACTCCACTTAGTTCCATTGATCTATCTATCTCTCTTAATGTGGATTCTACACTGTCTTGACTACTGTTGCTTTACACTGAATTTTAAAATAAGGCAATATTAAGTACTCTAAATTCATTCTTACTTAGCAAGATTGTTTTGGCTATTCTAGGTATTTTTGTATTTCTATATAATTTTAGAATCAGCTTGTCAGTTTTTCCAATAATCTTTCTAGACTTTTGGCAGGAATTGCAGTTAATTTGTAGATCAATTGACATCTAACAATATTGACTCATCTAATCCATTAACATGATATATCTCTCCATTTATTTAGGCATTTATCTGAGTGATGTTTTTTAGTTTTCAGTGCAAAGTTTTCACACTTATTTTATTAAATTTATTCCTAATTATTATTGCTATAGTTTGAGTGTCTCTACCAAAACTCATGTTGGAGCGCTTAAGAGGTGGGGCCTAATGGGAAGTGTTTGGGTCTTGGGAGCTCTTCCTTTGTGGGCAGCTTGGTACTATTCTTACACTGGTGAGTGAGTTCTCACTCTTGTGAGATTAGTTCTCTCAGGAATGGATTAGTTACCATGAGAATGAGTTGCTATACGGTGAGGTCACGCTTCATGCTTGGCCTCCTGGTACATGCCTACTCCCCTTTGACCTTCTTCTACCATATTGTGACACAACACTAAAGCTTTCACCAGAACCCAAGCAGATGCCAGTGTCATTCTTTCCAGCCTGCAGAACTGCAAGCCAAATATACCTCTTTATAAATTACTCAGTCTCCGGTATTCTGTTATAGCAACACAAAACGGACTAAGACAGAAAATTGGTACTGAGAGTGGGATGTTGCTGTTTAGATTCTCAAAAATGCAGAAGCATCATTGGAAACGGGTAATGGGCAGAAGATGGAAAAGTTTGAAGGAGCAGACTAGAAAAAGACTGTATTGCCATAAACAGAGCATTAAGGATAATTTCAGTGAGGGCTCAAAAGACAACAAAAAGATGAGAGGAAGTTTAGAATTTCTTAGAGATTGGTTAAGTAGTCATTACCACAATGCTGATAAAAATATGGACAGCAAAGGCCATTCTAATGAGATCTCAGATAGAAATGAGGAACAAGGTATTAGGAACTGGAGACCAAGTCATCCTTGTTAGATCATAGCAAAAATTTGACTGTGTTGTTTCTAAGGCTTTGTGCCCTAAGGTTTTGTGGAAGGCCAAACTTAAGAGTGATGAACTAGGGTACCTGGCAGAAGAAATTTCTAAGCAAAATATAGAGCAGCTATGTAGTTACTCCTTACTACATTCAGTGAAATGCAAAATGACAAGGGAAGCAAACACAAAAATTTGAAAATTAATAGCCTGGCCATGTGGAAGAGAATGAAAGAGCATTTTCAGGCAAGGAATCCAAGGGTGCAGCAGAACAACCAATACTAAAGAGATTAGCACTGAGAGAAGAAAGCCAGTTGACAATTATTGAGACAATTTTTTTAAAGGCCCTGAAGACATTTCAGAAATTTTTGAGGTTGCCTCTCCAGAGGTTTAGGAGGACAGAATGGTTTTAAGAGACAGAACCCATGCATCACTGCCCTGTGCTGTTTTGAGATCCTGCTCCCCAAATTCTGGCACAGCCCTCAGCAGCCACCCCAGCCATGGCACAATCATACTCAGGTGTGGCTCAGGCTGCCATTCCACAAGATACAAACCATAAACCTTGGTGGCACGCAGTCATGGATCAAGCAGCCTCAGATACCGCTCATGACAGCACTCTGGAGGGTGCAAGTGGTAAGCCTTGATGGCTTTTACAGCCATGTGGTAGTTGCTTTGCAGATGTGCAGAATACAAGAGAAGTGGAGGCATGGTGGCTGCTATCTAGATTTTAAGGAATGTACTGAAACGACTGGGAGCTCAGGTGGAGACTTGTTGCAGGGCCAGAGCCACTGCAGTGTATCTCCCCTAGGGCAATGCTGAGCAGAAATGTAGGGTTGGAGCTGCCACAAAGAGTCTGTACCAGGGCAATGTCTAGTGAGTCCCTGAAGTGGACCACCACTGCGACTCCAGAACTATATAGCCATTGCCACCATGCAACCTCAGCCTGGAAAGGCCACAGGTATCCAACTCCAACCAGTGAGAGTAGCCATGTGGCTATGCCCAACAAAGCAATGGAGGTGGGGCTGCCCAAGGCTTTAGGGATAAAAACTCCCCACTGTGCCCAGGAGGTAGCACATGGAGTGGAGAATTATTCTGGAGCTTTAAGATTTAGTGTCTGCCCTGCTGAGTTTTGAACTTGCTTGAGGCCTGTCACCTCTTTCTTCTTTTGGCCTATTTCTCCCTTTTGGAATGCAACTGTCTGCCATATGACTATTCCACCATTGTATCTTGGAAGTAAATAACTTTTTATTTTATTTTATTTTACAGGCTCATAGCTAGAAGGAACTTGCCTTGAGTCTTATATGAGACTTTGGACTTTGACCTTTGAATTATTACTGGAATACATTAAGACTTTGGGGACCATTGAGATTGAATAATTACATTTTGTAGTGTAAGAGGGACATGACTTTGGGGTTCCAAGGGTGGAATGCCATGGTTTCCGTGTTTCTGTCAAAAATCATGTTGGAACCTTTAAGAGGTAGGGCCTAATGGGAGATGCTTGGGTCATGGGGGCTCTGCCATTTTGAGCAGCTTGGTGCAGTCCTCATATAGTGAGTGAGTTCTTGCTCTCATGAAACTGGATTGGTACCTGTGGGAATAGATTAGTTGCCCTGAGAATGGATTGTTATAAAGCAACCCATTGTACAAGGTTGTACCTTGTGTTTGGCCTCTTGGCACATTCCCACTTCCTCTTTGGTCTTCTGCCATGTTGTGATGCACTGCTAAAGCCCTCACCAGAAGCTAAGCAGATACTGGTGCCATGCTTCTTGAACTTCCCAGTCTGGAGAAACGTGAGCTAAATAAACCTCTTTATACAGTCTCAGGTGTTCTATTATAACAACATAAAACAAACTAAGACATTTATTTTTGATGCTATTGTGATTGGAATTGTTTTCTTTATTTCATCTTTGTATTGTTTGTTGCTACTATATATATAACCGATTTTTGTATATTGATCATATACTCTACAAACTTACTAAGCCCCCTCTTAGTTCTAGTAAGTCTGGGAGGGGGTGTGGTATGTGGGTGTGTGTGTGGGTGTGTTCCTTAGGATTTTCTGCATACAAGGCTAACAATAAAAAGAGTTGTCTTTTTTCCATACCTTTTTTCCTTGACTATTGCACAAATTAAGTCCTGTGGTGCATTGTTAAATAGAAGTGGTAAACACAGATATCTTTGCATGTTTCCTAATCTAGAGGGAAGCACATTCTTACCATTAAGTATGTTGGCTATAGGCTTCTGGTAGATGCCTTGATCATTTGAAGAAGTTCCCTTCTATTCATAAGTTGATGAGATTTTTTTAAATATATGAGTGTTGAATTCTGTCAAATGCTTTTCTGCATCTATTGAGATGATCATATGGTTTTGTCCTTTATTCTGTTAATATAGTTTATTACATTGATTTTTGGATGTTAAGTCAACCTCACATTCCTGAGATAAACTTCATTTGATTATGGTATAAAATCCTTTTCATGTTACTCAATTACATTTGCTAATATTTGGTTAAGAATTTTTATGTCTAGGTTCACAAGGGATATTGGTATATAGCTGTGTTTTCTTGTAATGTCTTTGTCTTGTTTTGATATCAGGGTAATATTGATATCAAATGAAGTAAAGTTAGTTGGGAAGTTTCCTTCATCCTCTATTTGCTGAATAAAGTTTTTGTAACATTGGTATTATTTCCTCCCTTAATAGTTTGAT
Source organism: Homo sapiens (assembly GCF_000001405.40). Classification (NCBI taxonomy): domain Eukaryota; kingdom Metazoa; phylum Chordata; class Mammalia; order Primates; family Hominidae; genus Homo; species Homo sapiens. Next base: position 91,943,056 of record NC_000002.12, on the reverse strand, counting down.
AGAATTCACCAGTGAAGTATATTTTTTCTCTACAGGAAGATTTGAAATTACTGATGCAATTTCTTTACTTGATATTGGTATTTGTTTTTTTTCTTTTTCCTTGAGTCAGTTTTGGTAATTTGTGTCTTTCTAGGAATTGTTCTATTTTATCGAAGTTGTCAAATTTTTTGCCTTAAAGTTATTATGCTATTTTCTTAACATCCTTTTAAGGGTAGGGTCTGTGTGATATTTCTCTTTGATTCTTGATCTTGGGAATTAGTGTCTTCTTTCTTTTTTCTTGGTCAATTTAACTAAATATTATTTATCTTCTTGACTTTCTGAAATAAGCAATTTTGGGTTTCTTTGGTTGTTTTTAATGTTATCCTGTTCTGTATTTATCGTTTTCCACTGTGACATTTTTATTTCATACATCCTACTTACTTTTGGCTTGGTTTACTCATCTTTTTCTAGAGTCTTAAGATGGAAGTTTTAATTATGAATTTTAGATTATTTTTTCTTTCTGTTTTAAAGCTATACATTTTCCTCTATACACTGCTTTAATTGCATCCTGTAAATATTGCTATGTTATTGGTTTTTTGTATTTTGTTTATAACATTTTATTTATAAAAATAGGCTGGGGGAAAAGGATTTATACCACTGCATTCTTTCCTGGGGGAGAACTATTTTGGGCCATTTTTGAAATTTTTTTTCCTCTTAACAATTTTCAGAGTCACATTTGAATTCCTTCAGAATGGTATTTGTCAACAAAAAAGTTCAAGTGAAAAGGGGGAGGAAAACTGTGGAAGCATGAAGAAAGGGAGTGAGAGAAGGAGGAGTGGGCATACAACAGTCAACACATAAAGAAATGGCTTTTACTGAAATGACTCTGCCCTGTGCCTCATGCACTAGGTGATGCAAGCATGCTGCTCAGACATCAACACCAAATGTCATTTAGAAATGGTAGTCTTCTCTGGGTTCTGAAGGACACTTGTTCCCCAACATGACACTATTAAATGGTGCTTTCAAGGCAGACACTAAGACATTACTCCAAAGAGAAGGTTCTGGTGGCAGATGCTGGGACCATATTCTTTATAGTCCTTCTTGGTGTGACAGACCTGAAATAACTCCAGAGTTGAGGCTAGCATTAAGCTTCCAAACCATAAGGCATAGTGCTGCATGTGATGGATTACCACCCGAACCTCTGTAAGCTTAGGTTTGATTCTCCTGCCACTGAGCTCCTTACTGAGTTTTAATCTGGCATGTACCACTCTTCAAATCTCTCTGTAGTTGAGATTCAAATACCTGAATATGGTCAAACCCCTTGAAAGAACAACATTCTTATACAGTGGACAATACACATCAGTGGGACAGTTTTGTATTCATCAACAACATTCAAGATGGATTCCATAAAGTCTGGGTTGGCAAACTCTGGGTAAAAAAATATTTCAGGTTGCAGGAACCTTTTGTAACCAACGTTTATTATGAACTTCTCCTGGTTGATCACATTGATACCTGTGTACTGTTTCATCCACTTCCAGGGATCCACATCATACTTAGCAAATTCTTTGACTATATCAGGGCAAATGTAACAGTATTTCTCCTTAATGACTTTTGTGGTCTCCAGTGACTGCTCAAGAGGGATTCCTACCTCCCTCTCCCTTAGCAGTTGTTGAATGAAATACACAGTATCACCTACAATCAGGATGTGATTGATGCAGCTCCCAATTACATAACCTTCTACAACTGGGAGAACAAGGGTGACTCCATCTCCTTTGTCAATGACTATACTCATTAACATATATTCACCCACTTGTTGAGATGTCCAAGATACTTCCAAGGCTAGTACCTCCTGAACTGCAATGTAGAATCCTGGTACATTAAATAATTCAAACATAATTTCTGCAAAAATGTTCTGTATTTTCTAGTGTATTCAGTGGAAGTTCTGTCATTAAAAAATAATGGTCCTCAGATTCTGCTCAAAGATATTTAAAAACCACTTGCTCCATGAACCTTTCCATAATATCCCAGTCTTCAGTGATTCCATGTCATATTGACCACTTTGTAGCATACATAGATTTATCAATGGCTTCATCCTGTATGAAAAAGTCAAGCTCATCAACTCCCCTCAACATTCTCCCTTGGGCTTTGTCAACTACCTTTGCTGACTCTCTGATAGAAATGCATGAAAGAATAGTAAACTATGGCTCAGTGTTGCCTGCACAGCCAAGCTCGGAATATCTGCTGAGGTGATCACAGGGCTGAGACCCAGAGCAGTGGGTGCAGCTCAATCTCCAGGTATGGGCTGGATGTCAGGGGCTGAGAGCAAGGCAATGGAGGAGCCAGGGCGGGCACTGAGTGGCCCTTACCTGATGCCACAGTCTGCCACACAGGAAGGCAGGAACCCCGCCATGCTTGGAATACACAACACTTAGCCCTACTGGCCACCGTGGAGCACCCTGCCACCATCCACTTGGCAACCCACTCACCCCATACACCCTGTCTCCTGTGTGTTTCCACTTTTATTCATTTTAAGATATATTGTAGATGGGTGCAGCAAACCACATGGCACGTGTATACCTATGTAACAAACTTGCACGTTCTGCATATGTAACCCAGAACTTAAAGTACAATAAATTTTAAAAAAGGAATATTTTAAAGGATCAACCTACTATTTGACAGTCATGGAAATAGTGAATGGGAATTAAAGGGAAAAAAATAAGTAAGCAAAGGAAGGGAGGAGGAAAGGGAAAAAGAAAGGAAAGAAAAGGAAAAGGGAAATACAAGAAAAGGAGACAAATAAATAAATAAATAAACAAATAAGTGACTGAAAGTCTGAGAGTTGGCAAATACTATTCAGACAACACTGACAAAATAGGCCTCTTGCTAAAAATAGCAGAATGCACAAAGTACAGGAGCAGCCTGTCTGTCCTGAGAGGCTGAGGAGGTTTAGGAAAAGAGGCTGGGGAGATTTGAGACAGGTCTGACATATGTAGTCAGTTTTTGCTTGGTGGAAAAAGTAATCACGGGTGATTCAGAAAAAGGAAGATACTTACATAATAATTGTTTTGTACCTTTTTTTAGTATTCTATTACTTTCATAAAATTATCTTTGCATCAAAAGTTATTAACACTTTCAGGACTCCTTGTATGCAAAATTCTTTGAATTGCATTTCTTAATTTGTGATTGCACTGTTAATTTATCTAGCACAATGAACTGAATGTGTGTCTTTATGTTTAAAGGGAAAAATAAAATTCAAAACAGCATATTTGATATAATTTATGATTAGATAATAGAGAAATATCAATTTTAATATAATTTTTAGAAAGTAAAGCTTAGGCCAGTCACGATGGCTCATGCCTGTAATCCCAGCACTTTGGGAGGCTGAGGCGGGTGTATCACCTGAGGTCAGGAGTTCAAGACCAGCCTGACCAACATGGAGAAACCCTGTCTCTACTAAAAATACCAAATTAGCCGGCACTAATGATTCATGAGAAATCTGCCCCCATGATCCATTCACCTCCCAGCAGGACCTATCTCCAACTTTGGGGATTACAATTCAACATGAGATTTGGGCAGGGACACATATCCAAACTATATCAACAGAGTTTCATTGTGTTGCTCGGGCTAGTCTCAAACTCCTAGCCTCAAGCAATACTTCTGTCTCAGCCTCCCAAGTACCTTTGGGGATTATAATAATCAATCATCTTCACTTTTTACAATCTACTTTGGTTTAATAAGTTTTACTTAATTCCAGTGTTATATAGCAACTTTGATCCAATGTATCTCTTATATGCTATGAGCTCAGCAGTATTGTTATAGTTATTGCCTATAATAATCAGATGATTTTTTAAAAAAAGAGATGAAATCAGAATACACACACACACACATACACACATACAATCTTTTGTACTTACAAATTTATTTACCATTTCCCATGCCGTTTATTACTTATAGGTTCAAGTTGCCATCTGGTGTCATATCCTTTTATCTTAAAAGCATTTTCTTTAGTGTTTCTTTAGCAAGGTTAAGTTCTTTTTATTTTTATTTATCTGGAAATGTCTTTATTTCAGCTCCATTTTTGAAGGATCGTTTAACTGGATACAGAATTCTTAATTGACAGTTATTTTTCCCTCCACTTTTGAAATGTCGCTTCATAAGGCCTCCATTTTTTTCAGATAAAAATGCCAGTATTGATAACATTATTGTTCCCCTGTATGTGATAAGTCATCTCTTGCTACTTTCATGATTTTCTTATTATCCTTGGTTTTCACCAATTTGACAAGGATGGCTCTAGGTGTGAATCTCTTTGTGTTTATCCTACTTGAGATTTGTTGGACTTCTTATATCTGAAGATTAATGTTTTTCATAGCATTTTTGAAGTTTTCAGACATTATGTTTTCAAATATTTTTCTGCCCTCTTATCTCTCTCTTCTCCTGGAATTCCAGTTATGCATATGTTAGTGCTCTTGATGGTATCCCATAAGTTTCTGAGGATCTGTTTATTATCCTTCATTCTTTTTTCTTTTTGTTCTTCAGATTGATTAACCTCTATTGGTCTACCTTCAAGTTCACTGATAATTTCTTTTACAAGGTCAAATATGCAATTGAACCTCGCTAGTGATTTTTTCACTTTAACTCTTGTACTTTTCAATTCTAGATTCTATTTTTAAATGTATTCTGTCTCCTTATTCATATCCTCTATTAGACAGCACATTATCATATTTTTAATTTGAACATATTTATAATATATACTTTGAAAACTTTCTTTCTAAATCCAATATCTGAATTGAGACAGTTTCTATTCACTGCTTTTTTTTCAGAGTATGAGCCATATTTTCCTGTTTCCTTACATGTCTGATAATTTTTAATTGAAAACTAAACACTTTAATTACACATGATAGCAAATCTGGATTTGGTTTTTATTTGTTATTGTCTTTGTTGTTGTTATGTTTTGGTAATTGGCCTATACTTGTGCTGTGTAATCCTTCTACCCAGTGGTTTCCAGCATTGATGTCTTTTATATTGTGTTGTTGTTGTTGTTGTTGTTTTAGCCTGTCTTTCTAGGGATTTCCTTTGTGTCTGTTGCATAGCTTGATTTTGGAGAGACATTACATTAAAGCTAGTAAGGCTTCCACTCTCTGCCAAATAATCTGTGGGTGGGTGGGTGAATGCATTCAAAGTTGCAATTAATACTCAAGTCTTACTTCATTTTTACTTTTTGTCATACTCTCTTGAGTCTTTCTTGCACTTCCATACTTTTCCAATTGGCCATATGTGTGGAGAACTTTTCTCAAACTTTCTATGATTCTCTCCTTTCCAGGATTTCTCTCTCTCTCTCTCTCTTTTTTTTTAGTAATACTCAGGTTTTTAATTTATTATAGTGAATGGATACAAAGCAAAATTAGCAAAGGGAAAAAGTTGTATGTGGTAAAGTCTGGAGGATACCAGGCACAAGCTTCCTGGAATCATCTCTTGTGGAGTTACAAGGATGTGTTTCTCTTTCCCAGCATGAAATTTTGACAGCACATGTGCAATGTCGTCTACCAGGACCAGAGTCTCATTAGAGACTCAGTACTCAGGATTTTATGGAGGTTGCTCTCCTTCACATGTACCAGAATTCCAGACTCCCAGAGGAAAAGCAGCTGTTCAGAGTAAACCACATTGTTTGTATGAACTGTTTAGGCACAGTGAGCCACTCTTCTCAGTGAGAGAATTGGAACTTGGAACTGGAAAACTCTAGCCTTGCATGTGTGTCTTTCTTTTCTTTTCTTTTCTTTCTTTCTTTCTTTTCTTTTCTTTCTTTCTTTCTTTCTTTCTTTCTTTTTCTTTCTCTCTCTCTTTTTCTTTCTTTCTTCCTCTTTCCTTCTTTCTTTGTTTCTTTCTCTCTTTCTTTCTTTCTCTTTCTTTCTTTTTTAATTTTACTTTGAGTTCCAGGATACATGTGCAGAACATTCAGGTTTGTTACACAGGTATACATGTGCCATGGTGGTTTGCTGCACCTATTGACCCTCAGGATCTCTCATTTAAATTTTTCTCTTGTCTTCCACTTCCCCAATTGAAACTGCAACCTCAGACTATCAAATCTGCAATTCTCTCTGTTCATTCCCAAACCACTCTGCTATATTTAACTGGCAAAACCATTGATTTCTTCCCTCTACTCCATACCAAATCCACCCGTACCCCCAGCCCTAACAGGAAAGCTGCTGGGTTTTACATCCAGCTTCAAACTTGTAAAACTACAGTTTTTCCCAACTGAGCTTGGGGGTGAGAAGAGACATGGGAGTGTATTAGTCCGTTTTCATTCTGCTGATAAAGACATACCCAAGACTGGGAAGAAAAAGAGGTTTAATTGGACTTATAGTTCCAGGTGGCTGAGGAGACCTCAGAATCATGGCGGGAGGTGAAAGGCACTTCTTACATGGTGGCGGCAAGAGAAAATGAGGAAGATGCAAAAGCGGAAACCCCTGATAAAGCCATCGATCTTGTGAGACTTATCCACTACCACGAGAACAGTATGGGGGGGAGCCACCCCCATAATTCAATTATCTCCCACCAGGTCCCTCCCACAACACATAGGAATTATGGGAGTGCAATTCAAGATGAGATTTGCATGGGGACACAAAGCCAAACCATATCAGGTAGCAACCCCAGTCAGGAAGGGCTCATATTTTACCAATCCTACCCAAAACCCTAACACTTTTTTCAAGAATAAATGCTTCTTAAATTTGATAACTGCCTTTGATGAGTTTTCAGGGTCCTGAAATGATTGTTTTTGGTACTTCTCCAATTTCTGGGGGGAGTTTTGGTGTAGAAATAAATTGCCAACCTTTTCATGTCTCCTCCCAACCTTATCTTTATATCCTCTGATTAACAATTTTCATTAGTAATGTGTTACACAACAAATACTTGTTTAGACTAACCTACCTTTTACCAATTTCTTTTCACATTGTTCTGTCTTTTTTGATTCTATGTCATATTTCTAAAGCATATCTTTCAGTAGATTTTTCCCTGGTAAAAAATGGCATATGTTCTTAAATGTGTTTGTTTGACAGTATCTTTCATTTGTCTTTTTTTCGAGTGACAGTTAACTGGCTACAGAATTCAACATTGAATGTTTTATTTATCTCTGTACTTTGAAGACTTTATTTAATTATCCTCCATCTTCTATTGTTGCTGATAAGAATTGAGAATCTGCTCTATTTTTTATTCAATTATGATTAATCTCTCTTTCTCTGTCTAGATTATTTAAGATTTTATTTTTGCCTTTGGTAGTCTATAGTTTCTCAACATTTTATCTAAGTATCTATTTTTACTTAATCCTGATTAGAACTCATTTGACTTCCTGTGTCCAAATCAATAAAAACCCTAATCAATTCTGTAAAATTTGAAGCCAGTTTTCTTCTCAAATATTATGTCTTCTTCATTCTTTCAATTATGTTTCTGAAACTACCATTAGTTGTGTTTTAGGTCTTTTCCATAATCTAAATCTCATTTTCCACCTCTTTTTTTTTGTGTGTGTGCTATGCTCTTAAATAATTTCCTCATATCTACTACTTTGCTGTGTTCTCTCTTCAGCTTTGTCTAGATTGCTATTTGGGTACTTAGTGGGTTTTTTTTCAGTTGAGTAAATTTTAAAGTTTTTTCTAGATGTTCTATTTAATTATTTTACAATACTTTCAAGTAATTTCTTCTTCTCATGTCTCCAATTTTTAAAAATTGTCTCTAGTCCCTTTGAAAATAAATATTTTATAGTGTCTATCTAGTGGTTCTATTAGCTGAGGTTTTTAGACATCTAATCCCATTCTTCGTTGTATCTGTTAACTTTTGCTCATGGGATATTTCTTCTTATTTTAAGTTCAGATTCACTTGGCTTTACCTTTGAGACTTTATGCAGTCTGGGATCAGGAGTGTCTATTAGAGATTTTTTGAATTAGCATCTACTAAGTGTTCTAGGGATACTTCTATGCAGGGACAATTTTATGGTAGGTTTAGAACTTTGGGATCCCTAACCTGTGCATGTAATGTAATTTGAGCCCTACACATAAGTTGGATGAGGCCAGTTGTACATATGAATTCTCAAAAAAGACTATGCCACACAGAGACCAGCTAAGACAAACTGCCTTGTCTTCTCAATTTGTCAATAGGATGACATTTTCTGGTCTATGTTTTTTATTTTTTTTTTGTTTTTTGTTTTGTTTTGTTTTGTTTTCTTGAGATGGAGTTTTGCTCTTGTTACCCAGGCTGGAGTGAAGTGGTGCCATCTCAGCTCACTGCAATATCCGCCTCCTGGGTTCAAGCAATTCTCCTACCTCAGCCTCCCAAGTAGCTGGGATTACAGGCATGCACCACCAGTCCAGGCTAATTGTCTGTATTTTTAATAGAGACGGCGTTTCACCGTGTTGGTCAGGCTTATCTTGAACTCCTGACCTCAGGTGATCCACCCACCTCGGCCTCCCAAAGTGCTGGGATTACAGGCGTGAGCCACCATGCCCAGCCTGGTCCATTATTTTAGTAAGAGTTTAGCCCTCCAAGGCTTCCAGTTTTGCAGGATGACAATAATCAGAGGGGAGGAGGAAAGAAACTTTGTTCTAACTTTCTGCCTGGAGTAAGTCAAAATCCTCCTCTTCTACCCTGGCAAATTCTATACAGTCAGAAAGGGGTCATAGCTAAAAAATTCATGTAAGCTGTTTTAAGAATATTAAAAGCATTAGCAATTATAATTCATAGCAAATAAAGGTAGCCATTTAATTAGCAAATGGAAATTTACCATGTTATTGTCTGTTCTTTACAGAAACCTATGGATTCCTCAGTGAGTATCACCTAGTTGCCAGAAACAAGATGTCTAGTAACTTATACCTACTCATCTTAATCTCTCTCTACTTCCTACACATAATCTAAGATACTTTATATTTATTCCCACAAAATCTAGGTTCATTTCTTCCTGCCATTACCTCCTATAATACATTTATGCCAAATATCAGTTGAATTAGCCTTTCAATAAAAAGATTTAGCAGGTTCCTTTTAAAAGATTTGGCACCTTGACACTGTGATCTTCAATAAGGTTGTGAATTCTTATCACAGCCAATCATCCTCTTATTTTCCATCCTGATAAAAAAGCTATCTTAAAATATAAAATGAAGTAAATCTCATCATATTGCCATGATGTTTTTAACTATCATATATTATAAGTTAGCATTTTCAAGATTTCACATATAGGTTTTTTTTTTATTTTTTATTTTTTTATTGAGACTGAGTCTCACTCTGTCACCCAGGCTGGAGTGCAGTGGCACAATCTCGGCTCACTGCAACCCTCTCTCCTTTTGAACTCCTCAGTGTCTATTATTTCCATCTTTATGTCCATATGTACCCATTGTTTAGCTCCCACATATAAGTGAGAACATGTGGTATTTGAGTTTTCTGTTTCTGAGTTATTTCACTTAGGATAATGGTGTTCAGCTCTATCCATGTTGCTACAAAGAACATGATGCTATTCTTTTTTATGACTACATAGTATTCCATGGTGTATATGTGCCACATTTTCTTTATTTAGTCATTTAAGTTGATTCCATGTCTTTTTATTGTGAATAGTGCCACAATGAACATATGTGTGTGTATGTCTTTATGAATGATTCACATGTTGAACCATCCTTGTATTTCTGGAGTAAAACCCACTTAACTATAATATCTTTTTGATGTACTATAGAATTCATTTTGCTAGTTGAGAATTTTTGCATCTATGTTCATCAGGGATATTGACCAGTAGTGTGTGTGTGTGTGTGTGTGTGTGTGTGTGTGTGTGTATGGCTTTGCCTGATTTGGGTATAATTGTGATACTAGATTCATAGAATGTGTTAGGGAGGGAGTCCCTCCTTGATTTTTTTGGATTAAGTTTCAGTCACCTTTGACCCTGAACTAGTATCCTAGTGGATTGTACAATGACCCTGAACTAGTGGATTGTACAATGAATAAATGAGTGAATATAAATTATTGTAAAATAAAATTTTGTTAAGTATATGACAACCATACAAATGCAAGACAATAAACAATGTGATATGAAAACTCTCAGCCAGCCTACCATATTTGTGTTTGTTTTTGAACTGCATAGTGGGAGGAGGTGCTCCTTACAATTTTCACTTTGTAAACATTTATTCTTTGATTTTTAACCATCACTGCTATAACCACCATCACTAGTGGATTCACCAAAAATTAAGTAAAGAATTATCTTATTTGTTTTTATAAAACTTTGTAAAATGTATGTAGAGCTCACATTTATTTCATTGTTTAATACTAGAAGTGTTTTGGATCTTTATTTAGAAGCTTGGTGATGTTTTGTGACCAGAAATATGATGTAGGAAATTGACTCTTGTTTATATCATTTAGCCTATGGTAAAATTGGTTTTGTTATATACCATTTTACTCAAAGTTGCCATTTCCAATCACCTATTGACGACGTTAAGTGAGAACTTACTGTATTCAAATATATCTAAATATTCAGTACAGTGGGCCAGGCATGGTGGCTCATGCCCATAATCCCAGCACTTTGGGAGGCCAAGGAAGGAGGATCACCTGAGCCCAGGAGTTCAAAACCAGCCTGGGCAACATAGCAGACCTTGTCTTTACAAAATATTAAAAATTTTTCTGGGTCTCAGCTACTCAGGAGGCTAAGGCAAGAGGATCACTTGAGCTCAGGAGGTTAAGCCTACAGTGAGCAATGTTTGCATCACTGCACTCACCTTGGGCAACAGAATGAGACCCTGTCCCCCAAAATAAATATATATTCGGTACACTGTCAGTAGAGATAATCTCTACATCTTATCTCTACTGTTCCTTCTGTATCCACAGTTTTCTTGCAGCACCTTCTAAGTATTTATTGAATCATTTTACTCCTCTCCAAACTTTCTCTTTTGCTCTAGCTTAGGCTATTTGTTTCCAACTTTTGCGTGGACTGTGGCAGAGCCTTCAATTTGGTCTCTGTCTCCAGTTTTATCCCTAACTAATTCACCAAGGCCGTCATATAAAAATCACAAGACTCATTATGTTACTTCCTGCCTAAAACCTTCCCATGGTGCCTTACTTTGCCAAAGTGGGGGGAGACCTTTCTATGATCTGGCCCACCAAGCTCATTTTTCTCCCTCCTTTCCTTGCCCTGTATGTTCCAGCAACACTAAATTACTTGTTGAACCCCATTTAGGTGTATTGTTTCTTATCGCCATTCCTTTATTCATGCTGCCTTCTCTACTTGCTTGTAACCTGCCCTTTACCAAAATAATGAGAGACATAGTGCATTAGAAAATAAAGTAAACATTTCTGTTTTCTTTCTCAGAAAAATGAACTGTCATGTATGTTTATTTTCTTTCTTTTAAGGGATGTTACTGGCTGGTTTTACAATTAGGAATGTTCCATTCATCAATGAACATGTCCATGTTCCTAACGCATGGTCTTCAATTTTAAGAAGCATTGCCCTTAACATTATTCTAATACGAGCTGGGCTTGGACTCGATCCACAGGTAGATTTACAATTACAAATCGAGTAAGGTTATTTCAAATATTAGAGGATGGTGAGAAAGAAAAAGAAGCAAAAATTTTATTTACCTGTTCCAAGTGGAGTCTGTAAACAAACCTAAGATAAAGAAAAAAAGGCCGGGCATGATGGCTCATGCCTGTAATCTACAAAAATTAGCTGGGCATGGTGGCATTTACCTGGTAATCCCAGCTACTCGAGAGGCTGAGGCAAGAGAATCGCTTGAACCTGAGTGACAGAGGTTGCAGTGAGCTGAGATAATGCCACTGCAATCCAGCCTGGGGGACAGAGTGAGACTCTGTCTCAAAAAACAAAACAAAACAAAACAAACAAACAAAGGTTTTATAAGAAAAACCTTATACAATTCTTTTTCTTTTTTAGGGTGATTAAGGATTTCAGTAATTTTTTATGACGTTTTCTCTACAGGATTATGTTCCTGATTATCTTTGCATTATTGTAAAATCTAATCTTTTAAAACATTTCTTAAAATATTACATTCTAGGGATCATAAATTCCATCTATAAGAAGATGACTATTCATGAATATGACAGCCACTCAAATATATGTGGCAAATGTGGTTTAATAGAAATAGCTCGAGCACAAATAATTATAGCCAATGAGATTATATTCTCCAGTAGAAAGTATGAACCAAGGAGAAAATTGAAAAGTTCTCCCTTTTAAAATGAATTATGCAGTTTTTAAGTTATTTTCTTTGGCATGTTAGTATTGTATTTATACTTATTAAGTTAATCAAACAGTTCATATCAAAAAGTTAATGGGAAAACACTAATAGGACACTATTATTATACTATGTATTAGGAAAGTTCAGGAAGGTAGCATTAACTATTTAATCACAGTAAAATTGATCTTTTAATAATTAAAATATACAATAATATTTTATAAAAGATGAAATTGTTTATAATCCAACCTATGATGACATATAAAATATAATAGAGTTCAAAGTCCAGTGGGACAATCTGTTGAAATGAGATTTTGTTTAGTGAAAGCTTCTTATGAAAAAAGACTTTATAGACCAACATTTGTTAAAATAATTTTCTTTTTGGCCATTGTAAATGTATCAAATGTGACTGTTTTGTGTTTCAGGCTTTGAGGCATTTGAAGGTGGTTTGTTTCAGATTGGCTATAGGTCCATGCCTTATGGAGGCAAGTGCAGCTGCTGTTTTATCCCACTTCATTATGAAATTTTCCTGGCAATGGGCAATTCTATTAGGGTAATTTCTTTCTCATTTTTTCTTACGAAAATATTCAATTAAAGAGGCTTGGTTAAAACTGTTAAAATATTCAGAATATTGTATAGAAAAGCTCTATTAAAATTCATTTCACAGTGTTAAAATCCTTGGAAAGCACTTGATTAAAAGCAGAGCATGTCCCAAATTGCACGAAATTTTTTAACAAACATTAATAGCCCCTAAATGTTTATCATCAAGAAAATTCGCGTGATCAATTTATTCCTTTTCATCTGTATTATAACATATCTGTATGCTTTAATCTATCTAATGGCCTCTTCCTCATGGCTATATGTAAATACAGTTGCACATTTCATATATATGTATGTGTATATATATATATATATTTGAGAAACATTTTATATAGACAGAAGAAAGCAAGCAAACAAAATCTCTTGCCGTATATCCAATGCCCCATCCATCTTTATCTACCATCCATTTGTCTTATGTTTGAATTCCTCAAAATAAGTCTATAACTACTGTCTCTAGATCCTAACTCCTTTTCATTTCTTAATTAATCAACTTTTGTCTCTGCTTATCCATTCCAATGACACTCATAGCAAAGTTCATCCATTACATAGTTACTACAAAATCCAGTGAATTTTTAAATTAATGTTTATGATAAAATACTCAAATGCACTTTTATTTTAAAAATTAGAACTTTATAAATAAAGGAGGAATGACCTTAAACTATGCCTTCAAATCATAATGCCCATAACTCTACCCAAAGTGACAACTCTTAGGAGTTTTTTTCTTCTCCAATTTTTATTTTGGCTCAAGGGGTACATTAGCAGGCTTGTTATATGGATAAATTGCATGTCACAGGGGTTTGGTATGCAGAGTGACGATTGATCCCTTCTTTCTGTCCATGTGTACTCAGTGTTTAGCTCCCACTTATAAGTGAGAATATGGGATATTTGGTTTCCTGCTCCTGCGTTAATTAACTTTGTGTATTATTCTATGGTGTATATGTGCCACATTTTCTTTATCCAGTTCACCATTGATGGACATTTAGGTTGATCTCATGTCTTTTTTATTTTTTTTCATTAGTTTTTAAGGAACAGGTGGTGTTTGTTTACATGGAAAATATTTTTAGTGGTAATTTCTGAGATTTTGGTGCACCCATCACCAGAGCACTGTACACTGCACCCAAGGTGTAGTCTTTTATCCCTCACCCTCCTCCTACTCTTCCCCCTAAGTCCCCAAAGTCCATTGTATCATTCTTGTGCTTTTGCATCCTCATAGCATAACTCCCACTTATAAGTCAGAATATACAATGTTTGGTTTTTTCATTCCTGAATTACTTCACTTAGAATAATGGTGTCCGACTCCTTCCAGGCTGCTGTGAATGCCATTATTTCATTCCTTTTTATAGCTGAGTAGTATTCTGTCCATGGTCTGTGTGTGTATATATATACACACACATACACATATATATACACATATATACACATATGTGTGTATATACACATATATACACATATATACACACATATATGTGTGTATATACACATATATATACACATATATGTGTATATACACATATATACACATATATGTGTGTATATACACATATATATATGCACCACATTTTCTCTATGCATTCATTGATTGATGGGCATTTGAGCTAGTTCCATATCTTTCACAATTGCAAATTGTGCTGCAGTAAACGTGTGTCCAAGTATTTTTTTCATATAAAGACTTCTTTTCCTCTGGGTAGATACCTAGTAGTGGGATTGCTAGATCAAATGGTAGATCTACTTTTAATTATTTAAGAAATCTTCATACTCTTTTCCATAGTGGTTGTCCTAGTTTACATTCCCCCCAGCAGTGTAAAGGTGTTCCCTTTTTACCACACCCATGGCAACATCTATTTTTTTTTAATTTTTTGATTATGGCTATTCTTGGAGGAGTGAGATGGTATCGCATTGTGGTTTTGTTTGCATTTCCCTGATAATTAGTGATATTGAGGATTTTTTCATGTTTCTTGGCCATTTATATCTTCTTTTGGGAAGTGTCTATTCATGTCCTTAACACACTTTTTGATAGGGTAGTTTGTTTTTTTCTTGCTGATTTGTTTGTGTTCCTTATGGATTCTACATATTAGCACTTTGTTGGATGCATAGTTTGTAAAGATTTTCTCCCACTCTATATAGGTTGTCTTTTTACTCTGCTGATTAATTCTTTTGCTGTGTAGAAGCTTCTTAGTTTAATTAAGTCCCATCTACTTATCTTTGCTTTTGTTGCCTTTGCTTTTGGGTTCTTGGTCATGAAGTCTTTGCCTAAGCAAATGTCTAGAAGGGTATTTCCAATGTTACCTTCTAGAATTTTTATAGTTTTAGGTGTTAGATTTAAGTCTTTGATCCATCTTGAGTTGATTTTTGTATAAGGTGAGAGATGAGGATGCAGTTTCATTCTTCTACATATGGCTTGCCAATTAACCCAGCACCATTTGTTGAATATGGTGTCCTTTCCCAACTTTATGTTTTTGTTTCCTTTGTTAAAGATCAGTTGGCTTAAGTATTTGGCTTTATTTCTCAGTTCTCTATTCGATTCCATTAGTCTACGTGCCTATTTTTATAGCAGTATTATGCTGCTTTGGTGACTATAGACTTATAGTACAGCTTGAAGTCAAGCAATGTGATGCATCCACATTTGTTCTTTTTGCTTAGTCTTGCTTTCGTTATGCGGGCTATTTTTGAGTTCCACATGAATTTTAGGAATGCTTTTTCTAGTTCAGGGAAGAATGATGATCTATGATCATCAGTGATAACTGTCCTGAAGTTTTCTTTTTTGTTGTGTCTCTGCCAGGTTTTCATATCTGAATGATGCTGACCTCATAAAATGAGTTAGGGAGGGATCCTTCCTCCTCCTTTTTTCGGAACAATTTCAGTAGCATTGATACCAGCTCTTCTTTACACTTCCGGTAGAATTTGTCTCTGAATCTGTTGGGTCCTGGGCTTGCATTTTTTTTTCTTTTTTTGGCTCAGAGACTTTTTATTACTCATTCAGTTTCAAAACACATTTTTTGCTTTGTTCAGGATTTCAATTTCTTCCTAGTTCAATCTTGGGAGGTTGTATGTTTCCAGAAATTTACCCATTTCTTTTTTTTTTTTTTATATACTTTAAGTTTTAGGGTACATGTGCACATTGTGCAGGTTAGTTACATATGTATACATGTGCCATGCTGGTGCGCTGCACCCACTAACTCGTCATCTAGCATTAGGTATATCTCCCAATGCTATCCCTCCCCCCTCCCCCCACCCCACCACAGTCCCCAGAGTGTGATATTCCCCTTCCTGTGTCCATGTGATCTCATTGTTCAATTCCCACCTATGAGTGAGAATATGCGGTGTTTGGTTTTTTGTTCTTGTGATAGTTTACTGAGAATGATGATTTCCAATTTCATCCATATCCCTACAAAGGACATGAACTCATCATTTTTTATGGCTGCATAGTATTCCATGGTGTATATGTGCCACATTTTCTTAATCCAGTCTATCATTGTTGGACATTTGGGTTGGTTCCAAGTCTTTGCTATTGTGAATAATGCCACAATAAACATACGTGTGCATGTGTCTTTATAGCAGCATGATTTATAGTCATTTGGGTATATACCCAGTAATGGGATGGCTGGGTCAAATGGTATTTCTAGTTCTAGATCCCTGAGGAATCGCCACACTGACTTCCACAATGGTTGAACTAGTTTACAGTCCCACCAACAGTGTAAAAGTGTTCCTATTTCTCCACATCCTCTCCAGCACCTGTTGTTTCCTGACTTTTTAATGATTGCCATTCTAACTGGTGTGAGATGGTATCTCATTGTGGTTTTGATTTGCATTTCTCTGATGGCCAGTGATGATGAACATTTTGTCATGTGTTTTTTGGCTGCATAAATGTCTTCTTTTGAGAAGTGTCTGTTCATATCCTTCACCCACTTTTTGATGGGGTTGTTTGTTTTTTTCTTGTAAATTTGTTTGAGTTCATTGTAGATTCTGGATATTAGCCCTTTGTCAGATGAGTAGGTTGCGAAAATTTTCTCCCATGTTGTAGGTTGCCTGTTCACTCTGATGGTAGTTTCTTTTGCTGTGCAGAAGCTCTTTAGTTTAATTAGATCCCATTTGTCAATTTTGGCTTTTGTTGCCATTGCTTTTGGTGTTTTGGACATGAATTCTTTGCCCATGCCTATGTCCTGAATGGTAATACCTAGGTTGTCTTCTAGGGTTTTTATGGTTTTAGGTCTAACGTTTAAATCTTTAATTCATCTTGAATTGATTTTTGTATAAGGTGTAAGGAAGGGATCCAGTTTCAGCTTCCTACATATGGCTAGCCAGTTTTCCCAGCACCATTTATTAAATAGGGAATCCTTTCCCCATTGCTTGTTTTTCTCAGGTTTGTCAAAGATCAGATAGTTGTAGGAATGCGGCGTTATTTCTGAGGGCTCTGTTCTGTTCCATTGATCTATATCTCTGTTTTGGTACCAGTACCATGCTGTTTTGGTTACTGTAGCTTGTAGTATAGTTTGAAGTCAGGTAGTGTGATGCCTCCAGCTTTATTCTTTTGGCTTAGGATTGACTTGGCAATACGGGCTCTTTTTTTGGTTCCATATGAACTTTAAAGTAGTTTTTTCCAATTCTGTGAAGAAAGTCATTGGTAGCTTGATGGGGATGGCATTGAATCTGTAAATTACCTTGGGCAGTATGGCCATTTTCACGATATTGATTCTTCCTATCCATGAGCATGGAATGTTCTTCCATTTGTTTGTATCCTCTTTTATTTCCTTGAGCAGTGGTTTGTAGTTCTCCTTGAAGAGGTCCTTCACATCCCTTGTAAGTTGGATTCCTAGGTATTTTATACTCTTTGAAGCAATTGTGAATGGGAGTTCACTCATGATTTGGCTCTCTGTTTGTCTGTTGTTGGTGTATAAGAATGTTTGTGATTTTTGTACATTGATTTTGTATCCTGAGACTTTGCTGAAGTTGCTTATCAGCTTAAGGAGATTTTGGGCTGAGACAATGGGGTTTTCTAGATATACAATCATGTCATCTGCAAACAGGGACAATTTGACTTCCTCTTTTCCTAATTGAATACCCTTTATTTCCTTCTCCTGCCTAATTGCCCTGGCCAGAACTTCCAACGCTATGTTGAATAAGAGTGGTGAGAGAGGGCATCCCTGTCTTGTGCCAGTTTTCAAAGGGAATGCTTCCAGTTTTTGCCCATTCAGTATGATATTGGCTGTGGGTTTGTCATAGATAGCTCTTATTATTTTGAAATACATCCCATCAATACCTAATTTATTGAGAGTTTTTAGCATGGAAGGTTGTTGAATTTTATCAAAGGCTTTTTCTGCATCTGTTGAGATAATCATGTGGTTTTTGTCTTTGGCTCTGTTTATATGCTGGATTACATTTATTGATTTGCATATATTGAACCAGCCTTGCATCCCAGGGATGAAGCCCACTTGATCGTCGTGGATAAGCTTTTTGATGTGCTGCTGGATTCGGTTTGCCAGTATTTTATTGAGGATTTTTGCATCAATGTTCATCAAGGATATTGGTCTAAAATTCTCTTTTTTGGTTGTGTCTCTGCCCGGCTTTGGTATCAGAATGATGCTGGCCTCATAAAATGAGTTAGGGAGGATTCCCTCTTTTTCTATTGATTGGAATAGTTTCAGAAGGAATGGTACCAGTTCCTCCTTGTACCTCTGGTAGAATTCCGCTGTGAATCCATCTGGTCCTGGACTCTTTTTGGTTGGTAAACTATTGATTATTGCCACAATTTCAGCTCCTGTTATTGGTCTATTCAGAGATTCAACTTCTTCCTGGTTTAGTCTTGGGAGAGTGTATGTGTCGAGGAATTTATCCATTTCTTCTAGATTTTCTAGTTTATTTGCGTAGAGGTGTTTGTAGTATTCTCTGATGGTAGTTTGTATTTCTGTGGGATCGGTGGTGATATCCCCTTTATCATTTTTTATTGTGTCTATTTGGTTCTTCTCTCTTTTTTTCTTTATTAGTCTTGCTAGCGGTCTATCAATTTTGTTGATCCTTTCAAGAAACCAGCTCCTGGATTCATTGATTTTTTGAAGGGTTTTTTGTGTCTCTATTTCCTTCAGTTCTGCTCTGATTTTAGTTATTTCTTGCCTTCTGCTAGCTTTTGAATGTGTTTGTTCTTTCTTTTCTAGTTCTTTTAATTGTGATATTAGGGTGTCAATTTTGGATCTTTCCTGCTTTCTCTTGTGGGCATTTAGTGCTATAAATTTCCCTCTACACACTGCTTTGAATGCATCCCAGAGATTCTGGTATGTTGTGTCTTTCTTCTCATTGGTTTCAAAGAACATCTTTATTTCTGCCTTAATTTCGTTATGTACCCAGTAGTCATTCAGGAGCAGGTTATTCAGTTTCCATGTAGTTGAGCAGCTTTGAGTGGGATTCTTAATCCTGAGTTCTAGTTTGATTGCACTGTGGTCTGAGAGATAGTTTGTTATAATTTCTGTTCTTTTACATTTGCTGAGGAGAGCTTTACTTCCAACTATGTGGTCAATTTTGGAATAGGTGTGGTGTGGTGCTGAAAAAAATGTATATTCTGTTGATTTGGGGTGGAGAGTTCTGTAGATGTCTATTAGGTCCGCTTGGTGCAGAGCTGAGTTCAATTCTTGGGTATCCTTGTTGACTTTCTGTCTCGTTGATCTGTCTAATGTTGACAGTGTGGTGTTAAAGTCTCCCATTATTAATGTGTGGGAGTCTACGTCTCTTTGTAGGTCACTCAGGACTTGCTTTATGAATCTGGGTGCTCCCGTATTGGGTGCATATATATTTAGGATAGTTAGCTCTTCTTGTTGAATTGATCCCTTTACCATTATGTAATGGCCTTCTTTGTCTCTTTTGATCTTTGTTGGTTTAAAGTCTGTTTTATCAGAGACTAGGATTGCAACCCCTGCCTTTTTTTGTTTTCCATTTGCTTGGCAGATCTTCCTCCATCCTTTTATTTTGAGCCTATGTGTGTCTCTGCATATGAGATGGGTTTCCTGAATACAGCACACTGATGGATCTTGACTCTTCATCCAATTTGCCAGTCTGTGTCTTTTAATTGGAGAATTTAGTCCATTTATATTTAAAGTTAATATTGTTATGTGTGAATTTGATCCTGTCATTATGATATTAGCTGGTGATTTTGCTCGTTAGTTGATGCAGTTTCTTCCTAGTCTCGATGGTCTTTACATTTTGGCATGATTTTGCAGGGGCTGGTACCGGTTGTTCCTTTCCATATTTAGCACTTCCTTCAGGAGCTCTTTTAGGGCAGGCCTGGTGGTGACAAAATGAGTCAGCATTTGCTTGTCTGTAGAGTATTTTATTTCCCCTTCACTTATGAAGCTTAGTTTGGCTGGATATGAAATTCTGGGTTGAAAATTCTTTTCTTTAAGAATGTTGAATATTGGCCCCCACTCTCTTCTGGCTTGTAGGGTTTCTGCCGAGAGATCCACTGTTAGTCTGATGGGCTTCCCTTTGAGGGTAACCCGACCTTTCTCTCTGGCTGTCCTTAACATTTTTTCCTTCATTTCAACTTTGGTGAATCTGACAATTTTGTGTCTTGGAGTTGCTCTTCTCCAGGAGTATCTTTGTGGTGTTCTCTGTTTTTCCTGAATCTGAATGTTGGCCTGCCTTGCTAGATTGGGGAAGTTCTCCTGGATTATGTCCTGCAGAGTGTTTTCCAACTTGGTTCCATTCTCCCCATCACTTTCAGGTACACCAATCAGACATAGATTTGGTCTTTTCTCATAGTCCCATATTTCTTGGAGGCTTTGCTCATTTCTTTTTATTCTTTTTTCTCTAAACTTCCCTTCTCACTTCATTTCATTCATTTCATCTTCCATTGCTGATACCCTTTCTTCCAGTTGATCGCATCGGCTCCTGAGGCTTCTGCATTCTTCACGTAGTTCTCGAGCCTTGGTTTTCAGCTCCATCAGCTCCTTTAAGCACTTCTCTGTATTGGTTATTCTAGTTATACATTCTTCTGAATTTTGTTCAAAGTTTTCAACTTCTTTGCCTTTGGTTTGAATGTCCTCCCGTAGCTCAGAGTAATTTGATCGTCTGAAGCCTTCTTCTCTCAGCTCGTCAAAGTCATTCTCCATCCAGCTTTGTTCTGTTGCTAGTGAGGAACTGCGTTCCTTTGGAGGAGGAGAGACGCTCTGCGTTTTAGGGTTTCCAGTTTTTCTGTTCTGTTTTTTCTCCATCTTTGTGGTTTTATCTACTTTTGGTCTTTGATGATGGTGATGTACAGATGGGTTTTCGGTGTGGATGTCCTTTCTGTTTGTTAGTTTTCCTTCTAACAGACAGGACCCTCAGCTGCAGGTCTGTTGGAATACCCTGCCGTGTGAGGTGTCAGTGTGCCCCTGCTGGGGGGTGCCTCCCAGTTAGGCTGCTCGGGGGTCAGGGGTCAGGGACCCACTTGAGGAGGCAGTCTGCCGGTTCTCAGATCTCCAGCTGCGTGCTGGGAGAACCACTGCTCTCTTCAAAGCTGTCAGACAGGGACATTTAAGTCTGCAGAGGTTGCTGCTGTCTTTTTGTTTGTCTGTGCCCTGCCCCCAGAGGTGGAGCCTACAGAGGCAGGCAGGCCTCCTTGTGCTGTGGTGGGCTCCACCCAGTTCGAGCTTCCCAGCTGCTTTGTTTACCTAAGCAAGCCTGGGCAATGGAGGGCGCCCCTCCCCCAGCCTCGCTGCCTCCTTGCAGTTTGATCTCAGACTGCTGTGCTAGCAATCAGCGAGATTCCGTGGGCGTAGGACCCTCCAAGCCAGGTGTGGCATATAGTCTCGTGGTGCGCCGTTTTTTAAGCCAGTCTGAAAAGCGCAATATTCGGGTGGGAGTGACCCGATTTTCCAGGTGCGTCCATCACCCCTTTCTTTGACTCAGAAAGAGAACTCCCTGACCCCTTGCGCTTCCCAGGTGAGGCAATGCCTCGCCCTGCTTTGGCTCACGCACAGTGAGCACACCCACTGGCCTGTGCCCACTGTCTGGCACTCCCTAGTGAGATGCACCCGGTACCTCAGATGGAAATGCAGAAATCACCCGTCTTCTGTGTTGCTCACGCTGGGAGCTGTAGACCGGAGATGTTCCTATTCGGCCATCTTGGCTCCTCCCCCCGAAATTTACCCATTTCTTGTAGGTGTTCTACTTTGTTTGCATAAACATGTTCATCATAGTCTCTGAGAGTTTTTTGTATTTCTGTGTGGTTGGCGGTAATGTCCACTTTACCATTTCTGATTGTGTTTTTTGTATCTTCTCTTTTTTTTTTTCCTTATTGGTCTAGCTAGTGACCTATCAAATTTATTTATTCTTTTGAAGAACCAGCTTTTAGTTTCATTTATCCTTTGTATGCCTTTTCATGACTCAATTTTATTCCATTCTGCTCTGATTTTGGTTATTTATTCTCTTCTGCTAGCTTTGGGTTGGTTTCCTCTTGTTTTTCTATTTCCTTTAAGTATGATATTAGGTTGTTAATTTAAGATCCTTCTAACTTTTCAATATGGGCATTTAGCACGATAAACTTTTCCCTTAACACTGCTTTGCCTGTGTCTTAGAGAGCCTAGAATGTTGTATCTTTGTTTTAATTAGTTTCAAAGAATTTATTGGTTTCTGCCTTAATTTCATTGTTTACCCAAAAGTCATTCAGGCACAGGTTGTTTAATTTCCATGTAATTGTATGGTTTTGAGAGTTCTTCTTAGTGTTGACTTCTATTTTTGTTACACTGAGCGGTCCAAGATTGTGGTTGGCATGATTTCAGGGGTTTCTTTTAATTTACTGAAAATAATTTTAGACTGATAGTGTGATCAATTTTACAATATATGCCATGTACAGATGAGAGGAAGATATATTCTGTTGTTGTTGGGTGGAGTGTTCTGTAGATGGCTGTTAGGTCCATTTAGCCAAGTGTTGACTTCAAGTCCTGAATATCTTTGTTCATTTTCTGTCTCTATGATCTGTCTAGTACCGTCAGTGAGATGTTGAAGTCTCCCACTATTCTGTGGTTATCTAAGTCTCTCTATAGGTATCTATGAACTTGTTTTACGAATGTGAATGCTCCAGTTTTGAGCACATTTATCTTTCAGACAGTTAAGTCTTCTTGTTGAATTGAACCCTTTATCATTACTTAGTGCCCTTCTTTGTCTTTTTGATTGTTGTTGGTTTAAAGTCTATTTTGTCTGAATTAGAATAACAATGCTTACCCTTTTTTGTTTTACATTTGCTTGGTAGATTTTTTTCCATCCTTTTACTTCAAGCGAATGGGTATTGTTGCATATGAGCTGGGTCTCTTGACAACAGATAAGGTTGGGCTTTGCTTCTTTATCCAACTTGTCATTCTGTGAGTTTTAAGCGGGGCATTTATACTGTTTACATTCACAGTTAATATTGGTATTTATAGCTTTGGTCCTACCATTATGTTGTTAGCTGGTTATTATGCAGACTTGATTGTGTAGTTACTTTACAACGTCAATGGTCTATGTACTTAAATGTATTTTTGTGGTGGCCATTAACAGTCTTTCACTTCCACGCTTAGCACTCCCTTAAGGACCTCTTGTAAGGCATGTCTGGTGGTAACAGATTCCATTAGCATTTGCTTGTCTGAAAAGGATCTTACTTCTCCTTCACATATGAAGTTTAGTTTGGCTGGATATTAAGTTCTTGGTTGAATTTTTTTTTTTTTTTTTTTTTTTTTTTTTGTGACAGAGTCTTGCTCTGTCCCCAGGCTGGAGTGTGGTGGTGTTATCTCGGCTTACTGCAACCTCCACCTCCTGGGTTAAGTGATTCTCTTGCCTCAGCCTCCCGAGTAGCTGGGACTACAGACACGCACCACCATGCCCAGATAATTTTTGTATTTTTATTAGAGATGAGGTTTCACCATGTTGGCCAGGATGGTCTTGATCTCTTGACCTTGTGTTCTGCCTCCCTCAGCCTCCCAAAGTGCTGGGATTACAGGCATGAGCCACCACACCCAGCCAAGTATTTTTTTTTTAAGAATGCTGAAGGCCGGGCATGGTGGCTCACACCTGTAATCCCAGCACTTTGAGAGGCCGAGGTGGTCAGATCATGAGGTCAGGAATTTGAGACCACCCTGGCCAATATGGTGAAATCCTGTCTCTACTAAAATTACAAAAAATTGCTGGGTGTTGTGGTGCACACCTGTAGTCCCAGCTACTTGGAAGGCTGAGGGGGAAGAATTGCTTGAACCCGGGAAGTGGAGGTTGCAGTGAGCCGAGATAGCACCAGTGCACTCCAGCCTGGGCAACAGAGTGATACTCCGTCTCAAAAAAAAAAAAAAAGAATGCTGAATATAGGCCCCCAATTTCTTTTGGATTGTAGAGTATCTTATAGTTCCACTGTTAGCCTGATGGGATTCCCTTTGTATGTGACCTGCCCCTTCATTTTAGCTGCCTTTCATATTTTTTTATTTCATGTTGACCTTGGAGAATCTGATGACTCTCTGTCTTGGGGATGGTCATCTTGTATAGTGTCTCACAGGATTCTCTGCATTTCCTGGATTTAAATGGTGACTTCTCTAGCAAGATTTGGGAAATTTTTGTGGGCAGTATCCTCAAATATGTTTTCCAACTTGCTTGTTCTTCCTCCCTTTCTTTGAGTGATGCCTTGAGTCATATGTTTGGTCTCTTTACATAATCTCATATTTCTCAGAGGTTTTGTTCATTCTTTTTTGTTCTTTATTTTCATCTGACTGAGTTGATTCAAAGAAGTGGTCTTTGAGATCTGAGATTCTTTCCTCAGCTTGGTCCGTTCTGCTGTTAGTACTTGTTATTGTATTATGAAATTCTTGAGGTGCATTTTTCAGCTCTATCACTTTAGTTTGGTTATTTCTTAAAATGCCTGTTTCATCTTTAAGCTCTTATGTCATCTTATTGGATTCCTTAGATTATTTGGATTGGATTTTGACTTTCTTCTGAATCTCAATGATCTTTGTTTCTATCCAGATTCTGAATTCTATGTCTGTCATTTAATCCTGGTTAACAACCATTGTTGGAGAGTTAGTATGATTGCTTGAAGACAGGAAGACATTCTGGATTTTTACATTGCCAGAGTTCTTGCACTGGTTCTTTCACATCTGTGTGAGCTAAGGTTCCTTTAATGTTTTGAATCACTGTCCTTTGGATGGAGTTTTTTCCTTTTTTATATTCTTTAATGCCCTTGAGGGTTTGACTGTGGCACAAGGTAGTTTCAGTCAAATGGCTTCATTTCTGGAAGATTTCAGGGGGTAAAGGCTCAGCTCAGCACTCCTGAACTGCATACTCTAACTTTGCAAGGCTGGTACCATACCA
The DNA here is from genome assembly GCF_000001405.40 of Homo sapiens. Classification (NCBI taxonomy): domain Eukaryota; kingdom Metazoa; phylum Chordata; class Mammalia; order Primates; family Hominidae; genus Homo; species Homo sapiens. Next base: position 91,917,986 of record NC_000002.12, on the reverse strand, counting down.
ACAGATTTGTTGTCTGGCCCTTCAATGTTAAGCACTGAGGTGTTCCCAGTCCACTGGCAACAACACTCTGATGGGGTGTGCCAGCCAAAGTGCTTCATTGTAGTGATTGTAGCAAGGTCCCCACTCACACATATGTGTCAGCAGCAGCAGCACACAGCAGGTATGCATGTGTTGGCAGGGGTGCAGTGCTGGCAGGAGTGGGATGGGGGTGTTCTGCATACTTGCATGTGTCAGCCGGGGCAATGGTGTTGTGGGGTGCACTCATGTGCTGCTGGAGACAGAGTGGCAGCATCTTCATGAGTTTTATGTTATCATTCTAAATCTTTAAAAATAATGTTCTAGACTTCTAACAAATGTATTTGTGAACCCAGAGAAAAAAAGAGTATTATTTTGTGCATTATTACTTAATCATATCCAAGAAAATTTTACTTTACAATTTGTTCTTTTCACTCAACAATAGTGTTGAGGTTTATCCATCTCAAGATGGATACACATGTAGTTTATTCCTTTTAATTGTATAAGATTACATTGTATGTCAACAGCAGATTTTATTTACTATGTTATAACAAAAATAGCATTTTATTTGTCTCATTTTATATAAATATAAGTTTGTCTAGAATAGTTACCTGGGTTACATGAATTTTTAGTTTGATGTATACTGCCAAAATCTTTTTGGTATGGCCACTTTAATTTGCCCTAATACCAATAGCTTATGAGCATACCTGTTGTTCTTGAAAATCCTTGCAAATCCTTGATATTATTAAATTTTATAATGTTTTCCAGTCTGATCATTGAAAAAATGGCATATTTTTGTTATTTTAGTTTGCATTTCTGTGATTATTCACAAGCTTGAATATCTTTTATATACGTGTTGTCCTTCAGCTTTTCCTTATCTGTAACTAGCCTGTTCATATCCTTTGTCCATTTTTTTGTTGAGTTGGTCTTCTTTATTAATTATATCTGTTATATGCATTTGTAAATTATATGTATTGCAAATATCAGTAGATATTTAATTTTGTTTGTGATGATTTTTTTTTCACTCTAAGAAGTGTATTTTGTTATTTTCAACAGACAGAATTGCCAATACACAACACCGTTCACTTGACTTTGAAAATGAAAAAGAAAAAGGGGGAGAAAGAGCAGAATTGCTTTTGAAGTAGTACTTTATTATAGTACTTTTGAAGTTGCTTTTGAAGTACTACTTTAATATAATTGAATGTATTACAATCTCTTTTTATGTCTAATGTCTTTGTATGTATCATTCAAAAGGTCCTTTTTACCTCATGATCACAAATATATTATTCTACATCTTTTTTTTGTTGTTCAGAGTCTTGCTGTCACCCAGGCTATAGTGCAGTGGCATGATCTCAGCTCACTGCAACTTCCACCTCCCAGGTTCAAGTGATTCTCCTGCCTCAACCTCCCAAGTAGCTGGGACTACAGGCATGCACCACTGCACCCAGCTATTGGTTTCACCATGTTGGCCAGGCTGTTCTCAGATTCCTGATCTGTCCACCTCAGCCTCCCAAAGTGCTGGGATTACAGGTGTGAGCCATCAGGCCTAGCCCACTACATTTTCTTATTACTACTTTTCCTTTTGAGCTTTTAACATTTATTATATGTAAGGATCTATCTATATTCCTTTCCACATAAATAGTTATCTCAACACCATTTGTGAAAGATTTCTTTCTTTCTCCCACTGATTTAAAATACCAATTGTATGATGTAACAAATCCCATAGATTTGTTTCCACACTTTGTATTCTCTTTTCTTCCAATTTATTTTGTCTTTTTATATGTCACTATTATTCAGTTTTAACTATTTTACCTTTACAAAAACAGTATCTTGTTTTCTTAAGTTTACTTGATCTTTCATTCTAAGACCTTATTCTTCCAAATGAATTTTATAATCAGCTTGTCAAGCTCAGTATAAATCCCTGCAAAGATTTTGATTGGTGTATCTGATTAATTCATTTGGGGGAGAGTTTACATCTTTATATTATTGAGGCTTTGGCCAGGCATGGTGGCTCACACCTATAAGCCAAGCACTTTGGGAGGCCAAGGCAGGCATATCACTTGAGGTCAGGAGTTCAAGACCAGCCTGGCCAAAATGATGAAACACCGTATCTACTAAAAACACCAAAACTAGCCAGGCGTGGTGTTGAGCGATGGTAAAATTGGGGCTTTTTAGTTCACACTTGTGAAATGTCTCCCTAAGTATTCAGGTATTATCTTAATTATTATATTATTATATTCACAATTTTTATAAAAGTATAGACTGTCTTCACAGTTTTGTTCTTAGATACTTTGTGTTTTTAATTGATGTTGTGGATTAAATTCTCTTTGATCACTTATTCCTGGGGAAGCCAGCTGCCATGTCCTGAGGCAGCCCTGTGGAGAAAACCCCACTGGAAAAAACTGAAGCCTGCAATGGCTACATGAGTAAACTTGGAAGCAGATCTTCTCCACCCCACCCTACCTCATGGGAAATCTTAAGTCAAGGCATACAACTAAGCCATGCCCAGATTCCTGACCCACAGAAGTCATAAGACAATAAATATTTGTTGTTTTAAGCTGCTATGTTTGGGGATGACTTGTTAAGCAAAATAAGAAAAATAATACAACAGGTGATTACAATGTGCAGCAGAGTTCAGGAACCACTGAACTAGACCAGTATGTGGTTTTAGAGAAGTCTAGTCTCTTCTTGAGCCCACAGGGAAATCTGTAGCATAAACTGCGCCATAGAGTTGTACAGCCAGAAGCAAATCTCACATCAGTACGTCATTGGCAGATGCTGTCTGGAGGGAAAGTAGAGGGGTGCACAACCTCCCTAGTATTCCCAGGTAGGTGCTTGTCAGCAGGACAAAGGTTCTAGAAACCTGCAGATATTAGCAGCCAACAAGAAGCACTGGGAGATGTGTTCATAGACCTGGTAAATGGATTCTGGCAGGAGCACCAAAAGCATTTCTACACAGGATATACTTCACACTTTATAAAGTAAATGTAGAAGAGATGAGGTGAATTTCTGGATAAGATATGCCAATAGAAAGTATTCTGAGCAGGAGCCTCCCCATTCCTCATGGGTGTCATCAACCACTCCAGAAATGTTCTCATTTGCCTTTGTAACTTAGGTGGCCACACTTGTTCTTTTGGGCAGACAACTCTGTTCCTTCCTTCCTTACTTACTTATTTACTCAAGAGGTAGGAAATGTGTGGAAGGTAGATTTGTCTGACCATTCTTACAGTGGTACTCCAAATAATCAACTATTTGGTTTCCCCAGAGGTCTCTCCTGCTCCCAGCATCTGTCATTTCAGGGCTTGGACCACTTTTAGAAGCACATGTATCTTTTGAGGCAATTTTATTTACACACATTTTGGTTTATGGTTTCCTTTTTTCAATCCTAAATTGTCTGTCTCTTATCTTTCTGGCATATACTTAGTTACTTGTCCATTGATGATTCACCTTTTGCTTTCTAGTTAGGTTATGAATTTTTCTATTACCTTTACATCTTCACTTCTAAGGATTTAGGAATAGAGGGAGAGGCTGCAACCTGTGCTCAGCCCAACATTTTAAACAACGTCTGTATAAAATTTTAGCCAGCACTAAACAATGCATGGAAAGTTTTATCACCATTAAATTGCATTCACTCAAATTTGAAATTCTTCTAAACAATGTTTGTTATAAATTTATTATAAACTACTTGTACTTATAAAACACTACTTGATTAAAAAGATGCTTTTAAATTAATTTTCATTCTTCTTTCAGTTTTGTTCTAGGTGCTGTCTCTCCTGCTGTTGTTGTTCTTTACACGATGGTGTTGCAAGAAAATGGATATGGTGTTGAGGAAGACATTCCAACCTTACTAATGGCTGCTAGCAGTATGGATGACATTCTGGCTCTCACTGGATTCAATACATGCTTGAGCATAGTCTTCTCCTCGGGTAAACAAGAAAATATAACAACCACCAGATCATTCATGACCTTTTTTGTTAGTTCTTTAAACAGGGTTTCTGGCTTTGCTTCTTCATTTATTAACCAAGACTGTTCAATTTAACATCTTTTTAATCTCCATAGAAAGCTCATTCCAGACCAAGGAAGATATTTCAGTGGCTTAAGATACCACTACTTAACACACATGATCTCACTTTAATAATCATATGACAATTAGTTTGATAAACCATATTATTACTATTTATCTGCTTATGTTGCTTTTGAATTTTATCAGTTCTCATTAGAAAAAATTAAGCAGCAGTATTATTTGTACTACTAATATTTTAATAGGCATTTTTGAAATGCGCCTTTTTGGCCATCCTAATAAACAACTGGTTGCTCTATTATAAGACAACATAAACATACAGAGCTGGGACAGCCATATGCCTTTTTGGTAGTGTTAGGACAAAATCCTGCACCAGTTCTGATTCCCAAGGTGATATCTGGTCTTGAATATCACTACAGAAATTGTGAAACTAAACATTTCCACATGTAGTAATGCTTTAATTATCTGCAATGTTTGAGTCTTCTGTATTATTGAAGCGCTAAACTATTTTTAAGTTGAAAAGTAATATATATAGTTTTATAGTTTCTCTTAAAATAAGAAAATATAAATAAATAAGAAAAAGAGGAAAAGTTAAAAATAAAATCTGCAATAGTCACATCCAGAAGAAAAGAATCATTTCCTTCTGAACCTTTTGGTATAAATCCACCCATATTCCCTTCCCTTCCCTTCTTCCCTTCTTCCCTTCTCTTCCCTTCCCCTCTCCTCCCCCTTCCCTTCCCTTACCCCTCTCTCTCTGTCAAATATTCTTATAAAAATCAGTGAATATTTACCAACATGTTCTTTTATTATTTTTTTTTGAGGCGGAGTCTTGCTCTGTCACCCAGGTTGGAGTGCAGTGGCACAATCTCGGCTCACTGCATGCTCTGCCTCCCGGGTTCATGCCATTCTCCTGCCTCAACTGCACAAGTAGTTGGGACTACAGGCGCCCGCCACCACGCCCGGCTAATTTTTTTTGTATTTTTAGTAGAACCAGGGTTTCACCATGTTAGCCAGGATGGTCTTGATCTCCTGACCTCGTGATCCGCCTGCCTCAGCCTCCCAAAGTGCTGGGATTACAGGCGTGAGCCATCGCACCCGGCCTAATATGTTCTTATAAACTGAATTGTTTTACACTTAACTGTATATCACAAACATGTTTCTTTACAGTAAATGTATTTGTATATCATTTTTAATAGTTGTTTAGCTTAATGAAAGAGTATTCAATGTGCTGCATCATGATTACTTATCCTGTTCAAAATTAAAGTTAACTCCAATATTTACTATTAAAATGATACGTAGTTGTGTTGCTATAAAAATTTTTTTTAAATTAAAAAATTGGCCGGGCATGGTGGCTCACACCTATAATCCCAGCACTTTGGGAGGCCAAGAAGGGTGGATCACTTGAGGTCAGGAGTTCAACACCAGCCTGGCCAACAAACATGGTGAAACCCTGTCTCCACTAAAAATACAAAACTTAGCCGGGCATGTTGGTGGGCATCTGTAATCCCAGCTACTCAGGAGGATGAAGCAGAAGAATCACTTGAACCCAGGAGGCGGAGGCTGTAGTGAGCTATCCAGCCTGGGCAACAGAGCAAGACTCTGTCTCAAAAAAAATTTTTTAATTAAAAAATATACTTAGTTGAACATATAGAGAAATATTTGTACCTAATCTTCATATTTTCTTAAGCTTAAAAGTGTAATTGTTGATCTAAAATGTATATACATTTATGAGTGTTCTGAAACATATTGCCACAATATCATGTCCTACCCGGGTACATAAACTTGTCATTTCCTCTCACCTCTCTTCAAAACTTGGTATTACTAGCCTTTTTCATCTTTGCTAATTTGATAGGTGAAGGAGGGATCTCTATAAATGAAGTACTTTGAATACTAGTGATGTTAAATATCCATGTTTATTAGTCATTGGCATTTTGTAAATTGCTTTTCTTGAAAGTTTTTTGCCTATTTCTTTTAGGTGGGTTCACCTTTTATTCTTTTTGATTTGTCAAGATTCTGCATTAAATTGAGAATGAAAACCTTTGTTTTATATACTTTAGTTTTTTCAATTTGTAATTTGGCTTTTAATTTTCTCACTCTTTTTACCATTCAGAAGTTAAAGTTTTTTATTGTCAATTGTGAAAATCTTTTCCTTCATGATTGGTATCTGTCATTCTTTCAAAAAATATTGTTATCAGTCATGTTTCCAAAAAATATTTCCAGGCTGGGCCCAATGGCTCACGCCTATAATCCCAACACTTTGGGAGGCCAAAGCGGGGGGATCACTTAAGGACATGAGTTCAAGACCAGCCTGGCCAACATAGCAAAGCTCCATCTCTACTAAAAATACAAAAAGTTAGCTGGGTGTGGTGGCACAGGCCTCTAATCACAGCTACTCAGGGGGCTGAGGCACAAGAATCGCTTGAACCCAAGAGGCAGAGGTTGCAGTGAGCCAAGATCACACCACTGCACTCCAGCCTGGGTGACAGAGGGATACTGTCTGAAAAAAAGAAAAAAAGTATTCCTCTTCCTTTTGCCAGCTACTATGCCAAACACTGAGAATAAACAGTAGGCAACAACATTAGCTTTTATTGAATACTTGCTTGACTCTTGTTCTAAGTTCCATATATGTCACCACTCATTTACAGGTAAGGAAACCGAGAAAGATGTTAAGTAATTTTCTCAAGGACAGAGATCCAATAAGTAGGGGAGCCAAGATGCAAATCTGACAGTCTCCCTCCACACCCACACATTTAACTCTTCTCTTCTCCACTGCCTCCCAACACAACAGAGAGACAAGATCAAATGGTGCATGTTCTCAAGGAGCTTGTATATTAAAGAAAAATTACAAATGGGATGAATATTACATTGTGAAGGTTAATATTAAGTAAGTGTCAACTTGATTGGATTGAAGGATCCAAAGTATTGTTCCCGGTTGTGTCTGTGAGGGTGTTGCCAAAGGAGATTAACATTTATTTAGTGGACTGGGAAAGGCAGATCCACCCTCAATGTGGGTGGGCACCATACAATCAGCTGCCAGCATGGCTAGAATAAAGCAGGCAGAAGAAGGTAAGGAGAAGCTGACTTGCTGAGCCTTCTGGCCCTCATCTTTCTCCCATGCTGGATGCTTCCTGCACTCAAATATCAGACTCCAGGTTCTTTGGCTTTTGGACTCTTGGACTTCCTCCAGTTGTTTTCCAGGGGCTCTCAGGCCTTCATCCAGAGACTCAAAGCTGGCCTGTCTGTTTCCCTACTTTTGAGGTGTTGGGACTCAGACTGAGCCAATACTAGATTCCTTGCTCCTCAACTTGCAGACGGCCTGTTGTAGGACTTCACTTTGTGATGGTGTGATTCAATTCTCCTTAATAAACTCCCTTTCATATATATATATTCTATTAGTTCTATCCCTCTAGAGAACCATGACTAATACAGATTTTGATACTGAGGTAATGGAGTATTGCTATAAGATACCTGAGAATGTGGAAGTGACTTTGGAACTGTGTAATGTGCAGACTTTGGAACAGTTGGGAGGACTCAGAAGAAGATCAGAAGATGTGGGAAAGTTTGGAACTGCCTAGAGACTTGTTGAATGGCTTTGACCAAACTGCTGATAGTGACTTGGACAGTGAAGTCCAGGCTGAGGAGGTCCGAGATGGAGATGAACAACTTGTTGGGAACTGAAGTAAAGGTCACTCTTGCTATGCTTTAGCAAAGAGACTGGTGGCATTTTGTCCTTGCCCTAGAGATTTATGGAACTTTGAAATTGAGAGAGATGACTGAGGACATCTGGTAGAAGAAACGTTTGTTGTTGTTGTTATACCTTAAGTTCTAGGGTACATGTGCACAACGTGCATGTTTGATACATAGCTATACATGTGCCATGTTGGTTTGCTGCACCCATCAACTCATCATTTACATTAGGTATTTCTCCTAATGCTCTCCCTCCCCCAGCCCTCCACCCCCCAACAGGCCCCAGTGTGTGATGTTCCCAGCCCTGTGTCCAAGTGATCTCATTGTTCAATTCCCATCTATGAGTGAGAACATGCGCTGTTTGGTTTTCTGTCCTTGTGATAGTTTTGCTGAGAATGATGGTTTCCAGCTTCATCTATCTCCCTGCAAAGGACATGAACTCATCCTTTTTTATGGCTGCATAGTATTCCATGGTGTATATGTGTCACATGTCTTAATCCAGTCCATCATTAATGGACATTTGGGTTGGTTCCAAGTCTTTGCTATTGTTAATAGTGCCGCAATAAACATACATGTGCATGTGTCTTTATAGTAGCATGATTTATAATCCTTTGGGTATATACCCAGTAACGGGATTGCTGGGTCAAATGGTAATTCTAGTTCTAGATCCTCGAGGAATCGCCACAATGTCTTTCACAATGGTTGAACTAGTTTACACTCCCACCAACAGTGTAAAAGCTTTCCTATTTCTCCATATCTTCTCCAGCATCTGTTGTTTCCTGACTTTTTAATGATTGCCATTCTAACTGGGGTGAGATGGTATCTCATTGTGGTTTTGATTTGCATTTCTCTGATGACCAGTGATGGTGAGCTTTTTTTCTTGTGTCTGTTAGCTGCATAGATGTCTTCTTTGGAGAAGTGTCTATTCATATCTTTGCCCACTTTTTGATGGGTTGTTTTTTTCTTGTAAATTTGTTTGAATTCTTTCTTTGTCAAATGGGTAGATTGCAATTTATCTCCCGTTCTGTATGTTGCCTGGTTCACTCTGATGGCAGTTTCTTTTGCTGGAAGCTCTTTAGTTTAATTAAATCCCATTTGTCAATTTTGGCTTTTGTTGCCATTGCTTTTGGTGTTTTAGTCATGAAGTCCTTGCTCATGCCTATGGCCTGAATGGTATTGCCTAGGTTTTATTCTAGGGTTTTTATGGTTTTAGGTCTAACATTTAAGTCTTTAATCCATCTTGAATTAATTTTTGTATAAGATGTAAGGAAGGGATCCAGTTTCAGCTTTGTACATATGGCTAGCTAGTTTTCCCAGCATCATTTATTAAATAGGCAATCCTTTCCCCATTTCTTGTTTTTGTCAGGTTTGTCAAATATCAGATGGCTGTAGATGTGTGGTTTTACTTCTGAGGCCTCTGTTCTGTTCCATTGGTCTATATATCTGTTTTGGCACCAGTACCATGCTGTTTTGGTTACTGTAGCCTTGTAGTATAGTTTGAAGTCAGGTAGTGTGATGCCTCCAGCTTTGTTCTTTTTGCTTAGGACTGTCTTGGCAATGCAGGTTCTTTTTTGTTTCCATATGAACTTTAAAGTAGTTTTTTTCCAATTCTGTGAAGAAAGTCATTAGTAGCTTGATGGGGATGATATTGAATCTATAAATTACTTTGTGCAGTATGGCCATTTTCATGATATTGATTCTTCCTATCCATGAGTGTGGAATATTCTTCCATTTGTTTGTGTCCTCTTTTAATTCGTTGAGCAGTGGTTTGTAGTTCTCCTTGAAGAGGTCCTTCATGTCCCTTGTAAGTTGGATTCCTAGGTATTTTATTCTCTTTGTAGCAATTGTGAATGGAAGTTCACTCATGATTTGGCTCTCTGTTTGTCTATTAATGGTGTATAGGAATGCTTGTGATTTTTACACATTGATTTTGTATCCTGAGACTTTGCTGAAGTTGCTTATCAGCTTAAGGAGATTTTGGGCTGAGAAGGTGGGGTTTTCTAAATATACAAACATGTCATCTGCAAACAGGGACAATTTGACTTCATCTTTTCCTAACTGAATACCATTTATTTCTTTCTCCTACCTGATTCCACTGGTCAGAACTTCCAACACCATGTTGAATAAGAGTGGTGAGAGAGGGCATCCTTGTCTTGTGCTGGTTTTCAAAAGGAATGCTTCCAGTTTTTGCCCATTCAGTATGATATTGTCTGTGGGTTTGTCATAAATAGCTCTTATTATTTTGAGATACGTCCCATCAATACCTAGTTTATTGAGAGTTTTTAGCATGAAGGAGTGTTGAATTTTGTCAAAGGCCTTTTCTGCATCTATTGAGATAATCATGTGGTTTTTGTCTTTGGTTCTGTTTATGTAATGGATTATGTTTATTGATTTGCATATGTTGAACCAGCCTTGCATCCCAGGGATGAAGCCCACTTGGTCATGGTGAATAAGCTTTTTGATGTGCTGCTGGATTCAGTTTGCCAGTATTTTATTGAGGATTTTTGCATCAATGTTCATCAAGGATATTGGTCTAAAATTCTCTTTTTTTGTTGTGTCTCTGCCAGGCTTTGGTACCAGGATGATGCTGGCCTCATAAAATGAGTTAGGGAGGATTCCCTATTGTTCTTTTTTTGTTTTTTGGATGAAAAAAGAACTGTTTAATTTTTTTGATGTTTTCAATGTTGATATTTTTTCCAAGAATTAGAGAAATATCTCTGGATGGTTATCTAAAATTTATAATTTTTTTACCGGTATGGTATGTAGGAGAGTGTCATAGTTTTTCTATTATTATACTTTAAGTTCTAGGGTACATGTGCACAATGTGCCAGTTTGTTACATATGTATACATGTGTCATGTTGGTGTGCTGCACCCATTAACTCGTCATTTACATTAGATGTATCTCCTAATGCTATCCCCCCTCCCCCCACTCCATGACAGGCCCCAGTGTGTGATGTTCCCCACCCTGTGTCCAAGTGTTCTCATTGTTCAATTCCCACCTATGAGTGAGAACATGTGGTGTTTAGTTTTCTGTCCTTGCGATAGTTTTTTCAGAATGATGGTTTCTAGCTTCATCCATGTCCTTACAAAGGACATGAACTCATCCTTTTTATGGCTGCATAGTATTCCATGGTGTATATGTGCCACATTTTCTTAATCCAGTCTATCATTGATGGACATTTAGGTTGGCTCCAAGTCTTTGCTATTGTGAATAGTGCCGCAATAAACATACATGTGCATGTGTCTTTATAGCAGCATGATTCACAATCCTTTGGGTGTATGCCCAGTAATGGGATGGCTGGGTGAAATGGTATTTCTAGTTCTAGATCCTTGAGGAATTGCCACACTGCCTTCTACAATGATTGAACTAGTTTACACTCCCACTAACAGTGTAAAAGCCTTCCTATTTCTCCATATCCTCTCCAGCACCTGTTGTTTCCTGACCTTTTAATGATCACCATTCTAATTGGTGTGAGATGGTATCTCATTGTGGTTTTGATTTGCATTTCTCTGATGGCCAGTGATGATGAGCATTTTTTCATGTGTCTGTTGGCTGCATAGATGTCTTCTTTTGAGAAGTCACTGTTCATACCCTTTGCCCACTTTTTGATGGGGTAGTTTGATTTTTTCATATAAATTTGTTTAAGTTCTTTGTAGATTCTGGATATTAGCCCTTTGTCAGAGGGGTAGATTGTAAAAATTTTCTCCCATTCTGTAGGTTGTCTGTTCACTCTGATGGTAGTTTCTTTTGCTGTGCAGAAGCTCTTGAATTTAATTCGATCTCATTTGTCAATTTTGGCTTTTGTTGCCATTGCTATTGGTGTTTTAGTCATGAATTCCTTGCCCATGCCTATGTCCTGAATGGTATTGCCTAGGTATTCTTCTAGGGTTTTTATGGTTTTAGGTCTGATATTTAAGTCTTTAATCCATCTTGAATTACTTTTTATATAAGGTGTAAGGAAGGGATCCAGTTTCAGCTTTCCACATATGGCTAGCCAGTTTTCCCAGCACCATTTATTAAATAGGGAATCCTTTCCCCGTTTCTTGTTTATGTCAGGTTTGTCAAAGATCAGATGGTTGTAGATGTGTGGTATTATTTCCGAGGGCTCTATTCTGTTTCATTGGTCTGTATCTCTGTTTTGGCACCAGTACCATGCTGTTTTGGTTACTGTAGCCTTGTAGTGTAGTTTGAAGTCAGGTAGTGTGATGCCTCCAGGTTTGTTCTTTTTGCTTAGGATTGACTTGGCAATGCAGGTTCTTTTTTGGTTCCATATGATCTTTAAAGTTGTTTTTTCCAATTCTGTGAAGAAAGCCATTGGTAGCTTGATGGGGATGACATTGAATTTATAAATTACCTTTGGCTGTATGGCCATTTTCACGATATTGATTCTTCCTATCCATGAGCATGGAATGTTCCTCCATTTGTTTGTATCCTCTTTTATTTTGTTGAGCAGTGGTTTGTAGTTCTCCTTGAAGAGGTCCTTCACATCCCTTGTAAGTTGGATTCCTAGGTATTTTATTCTCTTTGAAGCAATTGTGAATGGGAGTTCACTCATGATTTGGCTCTCTGTTTGTCTGTTATCAGTGTATAGGAATGCTTGTGATTTTTGCACATTGATTTTGTATCCTGAGACTTTGCTGAAGTTGCTTTTCAGCTTAAGGAGATTTTGGGCTGAGACGGTGGGGTTTTCTAAATATACAATCATGTCATCTGCAGACAGGGACAATTTGACTTCTTCTTTTCCTAATTGAATACCCTTTATTTCATTCTCTTGCCTGATTGCCCTGGCCAGAACTTCCAAGACAATGTTAAATAGGAGTGGTGAGAGAGGGAATCCTTGTCTTGTGCCAGGTTTCAAAGGGAATGCTTCCAGTTATTGTCCATTCAGTATGATATTGGCTGTGGGTTTGTCATAAATAGCTCTTATTATTTTGAGATACGTCCCATCAATACCTAGTTTATTGAGAGTTCTTAGCATGAAGGCTGTTGAATTTTGTCAAAGGCCTTTTCTGCATCTATTAAGATAATCATGTGGTTTTTGTCTTTGGTTCTGTTTATATGATGGATTACGTTTATTGATTTGCATATATTGAACAAGTCTTGCATCCTAGGGATGCCAACTTGATCATGGTGGATAAGCTTTTTGATGTGCTGCTGGATTCAGTTTGTTAGTATCTTATCGAGGATATTTGCATCAATGTTCATCAGGGATTTTGGTCTAAAATTCTCTTTTTTTGTTGTTGTGTCTCTGTCAGGCTTTGGTATCAGGATGATGTTGCCCTCATAAAATGAATTAGGGAGGATTCTGTCTTTTTCTATTGATTGGAAAAGTTTCAGAAAGAATGGTACCAGCTCCTCTTTGTACCTCTGGTAGAGCTCAGCTGTGAATCCATCTGGTCCTGGACTTTTTTTTGTTGGTAGGCTATTAATTATTGCCTCAATTTCAGAGCCTGTTATTGGTCTATTCAGAGATTCAACTTCTTCCTGGTTTAGTCTTGCAAGGGTGTATGTGTCCCAGAATTTATACATTTCTTCTAGATGTTCAAGTTTATTTGTGTAGAGGTGTTCATAGTATTCTCTGATGGTAGTTTTATTTCCCTGGGCTCAGTGGTGATATCCCCTTTATCATTTTTATTGCATCTATTTGATTCCTCTCTCTTTTCTTCTTTATTAGTCTTGCTAGCAGTCTATCAATTTTGTTGATCCTTTCAAAAAACCAGCTCCTGGATTCATTGCTTTTTTGAAGGGTTTTTTGTGTCTCTGTCTCCTTCAGCTTTGCTCTGATCTTATTTTTTGCCTTCTGCTAGCTTTTGAATATGTTTGCTCTTGCTTCTCTAGTTCTTTTAATTGTGATGTTAGGGGGTCAATTTTAGATCTTTCCTGCTTTCTCTTGTGGGCATTTAGTGCTATAAATTTCCCCCTACACACTGCTTTAAATGTGTCCCAGAGATTCTGGTACATTGTGTCTTTGTTCTCATTGGTTTCAAAGAACATCTTTATTTCTGCCTTCATTTTGTTATTTACCCAGTAGTCATTCAGGAGCAAATTGTTCAGTTTCCATGTAGTTGTTCAGTTTTGAGTGAGCTTCTTAATCCTAAGTTCGAATTTGATTGCACTGTGGTCTGAGAGACAGTGTGTTGTGATTTCTGTTCTTTTACATTTGGTGAGGAGTGCTTTACTTCCAGTTATGTGGTCAAATTTAGAATAAGTGAGATTTGGTGCTGAGAAGAATGTATACTCTGTTGATTTGGGGTGGAGAGTTCTGTGGATGTCTATTGGGTCTGTTTGTTGCAGAGCTGATTTCAGGTCCTGGATATCTTTTTTAACCTTCTGTCTTGTTGATCTTTCTAATATTGACAGTTGGGTGTTAAGTCTCCCTTTATTATTGTGTGGGAGTCTAAGTCTCTTTGTAAGTCTCTAAGGACTTGCTTTAAGAATCTGGGTGCTCTTGTATTGGGTGCATATATATTTAGGATAGTTAGCTCTTCTTGTTGCATTGATCCCTTTACCATTATGTAATGGCCTTCTTTGTCTCTTTTGATCTTTGTTGGTTTAAAGTCTGTTTTATCAGAGACAAGGATTGCAAACCCTGCCTTTTTTTGTTTTCCGTTTTCTTGGTAGATCTTCCTCCATCCCTTTATTTTGAACCTATGTGTGAATTTGCGCATGAGTTGGGTCTCCTGAATACAGCACACTGATGGGTCTTGACTCTTTATCCAATTTGCCAGTCTGTGTCCTTTAATTTGGGCATTTAGCCCATTTACATTTACAGTTAATATTGTTATGTGTGAATTTGATCCTGTCATTATGATATTCGCTGGTTATTTGCCCGTTAATTGATGCAGTTTCTTCCTAGCATTGATGGTCTTTACAACTTGGCATGTTTTTGCAGTGGCTGGTACCGGGTGTTTCTTTCCATGTTTAGTGCTTCCTTCAAGAGCTCTTGTAAGGCAGGCCTGGTGGTGACAAAATCTCTCAGCATTTGCTTGTCAGTAAAGAATTTTATTTTCTCCTTCACTTATGAAGCTTAGTTTGGCTGGATATGAAACTCTGGATTGAAAATTATTTTCTTTAAGAATGTTGAATATTGGCTCCCACTCTCTTCTGGATTGTAGGGTTTCTGCCAAGAGATCAGCTGTTAGTCTGATGGGCTTCCCTTTGTGGCTAACCTGACCTTTCTCTCTGGCTGCCCTTAACACTTTTTCCTACACTTCAACCTTGGTGAATCTGACAATTATGTGTCTTGGAATCGCTCTTCTCAAAGAGTATCTTTGTGTTGTTCTCTGTATTTCCTGAAGTTGAATGTTGGCCTGCCATGCTAGGTTGGGGAAATTCTCCTGGATAATATCCTGAAGAGTGTTTTACAACTTGGTTCCATTCTCCTCATCACTTTCCAGTGCACCAATCAAATATAGATTTGGTCTTTTCACATGGTCCCATATTTCTTGGAGGCTTTCTTCATTTCTTTTTACTCTTGTTTCTCTAACCTTGTCTTCTCACTTTATTTCATTTATTTGATCTTCAATCACTGATACCCTTTCTTCCACTTGATTGAATCGGCTATTGAAGATTGTGCATGCATCACAAAGTTCTGGTGCCATGGTTTTCAGCTCCTTTGGGTCACTTAAGGTCTTCTCTACACTGTTTATTCTTGTATGCCATTCGTCAAATCTTTTTTCAAGGTTTTTAGCTTCCTTGCAATGGGTTCCAACATCCTCCTTTAGCTCAGAGAAGTTTGTTATTACCAACCTTCTGAAGCCTACTTCTGTCAACTCGTCAAAGTCATTCTCTGTCCAGCTTTGTTCCGTTGCTGACAAGGAGCTGTGATCCTTTGGAGGAGAAGAGGTGCTCTGATTTTTAGAGTTTTCAGCTTTTCTGCTCTGGTTTATCCCTATCCTTCTGATTTTATCTACCTTTGGTCTTTGATATTCTTGACCTACAGATGGGGTTTTGGTGTAGATGATCTTCTGTTAATGTTGACACTATTCCTTTCTGTTTTTTAGTTTTCCTTCTGACAGTCAGGACCCTCAGCTGCAGTTCTGTTGGAGTTTGCTGGAGTTCCACTCCAGACACTGTTTGCCTGGGTATCACCAGTGGAGGCTGCAGAACAGCAAATATTGCAGAACAGCAAATATTGCTGCCTGATCCTTCCTCTGGAAGCTTCGTCCAAGAGGGGTAGCCGTCTATATGAGGTGTCTGTCAGCCCCTACTGGGAGGTGTGTCCCAGTTAGGCTACACAGGGGTCAGGGACCTACTTGAGGAGGCAGTCTGTCCATTCTCAGAACTCAAACGCCATGCTGGAAAAACCACTGCTCTCTTCAGAGCTGTCAGACAGGGATGTTTAAGTCTGCAGAAGTTGCTGCCTTTTGTTCAGCTATCCCTGCCCACAGATGTGGAGTCTAGAGGCAATGGGCCCTGTTGAGCTGCGGTGGGCTCCACCCAGTTCAATCTTCCCTGGCCACTTTGTTCACCTACTTAAGCCTCAGCAATGGTGGACGCCCCTCCCCCAGCCAGGCTGCCACCTCACAGATGGATTTCAGACTGTTGTGCGTGTGGGTGTGGGACCCACTGAGCCAGGCACAGGAGAGAATCACGTTGTCTGCTAGTTGCTAAGACCTTGGGAAAAGTGCAGTATTTGGGTGGGAGTGCCCTGTTTTTCCAGGTAGTCTGTCACAGCTTCCCTTGGCAAGGAAAGGGAAATCCCCCAACCCCTTGTGCTTCCCGGGTGAGGCGATGACCCACCCTGCTTCAGCTCACCCTCTGTGGGCCTGCACGCACTCTCCAACCAGTGCTGATGAGATGAACCAGGTACCTCAGTTGGAAGTGCAGAAATCACCTGTCTTCTGTGTCGATCGTTCTGGGAGCTGCAGACCGGAACTGTTCCTGTTTGGCCATCTTGGAACCCATCCAGGACATCTGGTAGAAGAAATTTGTAAGCAGCAAAGTGTTCAATTTATGACCTGAGTGCTCTTAAAAGTGTTCAGTTTTATGCACTCACAAAAATATGGTTTGGAATTAGAACTTATGTTTAAAAGGGAGCAGAGCATAAAAATTTGGAAGATTTGCAGCCTGATGATGTGATAGAAAAGAAAACCCATTTTCTGGGGAGAAATTCAAGCTGACTGCAGAAATTTGCAAAATTAACAAGGAGCCAAATGTTAATTGAAAAGATAATGGGGAAATTGTCTCCAGGGCATGTCAGAGTTCTTCACGACAGCCCCTCCCATCACAGGGTTGGAGGCCTAGGAGGGAAAAAATGGTTTTGTGGGCCAGGCCCAGAACTTTGCTGCTCTGTGCAGTCTTGGGACTTGGTGCCGTGTGTCCCAGCCATGGCTAAAAGGAGCCAATGTACAGCTCAGGCTATTGCTTCAGAGTTCAATCCCCAAGCCTTGGCATCTTCCACATAGTGTTGGGTTGATATGCTAGTTGGCCATTTGTATTTTTTTTTAGAAAAAATGTCTATTCAAGTCTATCTTAGTCCATTCCTGCTGCTATAACAAAATACCTTAGGCTGGTAATTTATAAAAAACAGAAATTTATTTCTTGCATTCTGGAATGTGAGAAGTCCAAGATTTAGGCTACAGCAGACTCAGTGACTGGTGAGGTCACTATATTCACTATACATAGCACCTTCTCTGTGTCCTCACGTGTTCAAAAGGCAAAACAAACTCCCTTAAGCCTCTTTTATAAAGGCCCTAGTCCCATTTCTGAGGGCTATGACTTCATGAACTTATCATCTCCAAAATGCCCCACCTCTTAATATTATCACATTGAATATTAGTCTCCAGCATATGAATATTGGGAGAACATTTGGACCATAGCAAAGTCAACTGACCATTTCTCATATAGGTTGTTTTGTTATTGAGTTGTTATTCTGCATATATTTTAGATATTAACCCCTTATCAGGTATGTGGTTTCCTGGGAGGTTTTTGATTCCTGATTCAGTTACTAGTTATAGGTTTATTAAGATTTTTTATTTTGTGACTTAGTCTTGGTAACTTGCATGTTACTAGGAATCTGTTCATTTCTCCTAGGTTATCCAACTTGTCAGTATATAATCATTCATAGTAGACTCTTAGAATCCTTTTTATTTCTGTAATATCTGTTGCAGTGTCTTCTCTTTTGTTCCTAAAAGAAGTTGAGTCTTCTTTATTTTTTTTCTTAAATATTCTAGCTAATGATTTGTCAATTTTGTTGAACTTTAAAACAACTACTAGTTTCATTGGGTTTTTTCTATTCTCTAGCCTTTTATTTTATTTTATTTTATTTTATTTTGAGATGGAGTTTTGCTCTTATTGCCTAGGCTGTAGTGTAATGGCGTGATCTCCGCTCGCTGCAACCTCTGCCTCCCAGTTCAAGTGACTCTCCTGCCTCAGCCTCCAGAGTAGCTGGGATTACAGGCATGCACCACCATGCCCGGCTAATTTTGTATTTTTTAGTAGAGACAGATTTCTCCATGTTGCTGAGGCTGGTCTCAAACTCCCGACCTCAGGTGATCCACCTGCCTCGGCCTCCCAAAGTGCTGGGATTAGAGTCATGAGCCACTGCAACTGACCTTCTGCTCTAGACTTTATTATTTCCTTCCTTTTGCTAACATTGGGTTGAGTTCTTCTTTTTCCAGTTTCTTGAGGTGTAAAGCTAAGTTGCTGATTTTAGATCTTTCTTCTTTTTTAAGGTAGGTAGTTAGATACATAAACTGTCCTCTTCACATTCATTTTGCTGTATCCCACAAGCTTTGGAATGTTGTGTTTCCATTTTTATTTCTCTCAAGACATTTTATAATTTTCCTTGTGACTTATTCTTTGACTATGTATTAATCAGAGTTCTCCAGAGGGTCAGATCCAATAGGAGATATAGATATAGATATAGATATAGATATAGATAATAGATATAGATACATATACATGTATCTAAAAGAGAATATATTTATATATATATGAAATATAATTTATTAAGGAGAATTGGCTCACATAATTACAAAGGCAAAGTCCCACAATAGGCCATCTATAAGCTGGAAAATGAGAGAAGCCTACAGCATGGCTCCCAAGGAAGGCAGTGACATGGCTCAGTCCAAATCTGGAAGTCTCAAAACCAGGGAAGCTGACAGTGCAGCCACTAGTCTGAGGCCCAAGGCCTGAGAGCTCCCAAAAGGCTGCTGATGCAAGTCCCAGGGTCCTAAGACTCAGGCCAAAGAACCTAGAGTTTGATGTGCAAGGGCAAGAGGAGAAAAAGGCATACTGCTCTGGAAGAGAGAGAAAGTGCATAAAACAGAAATCTAAGCAAGCTGAATGTTTCCATTCTTCTGCCTTTTTGTTCTAGTCACACTTGCAACCAATTGCATGTTGCCTACCCACAATGAGGATGGATTTTTCTCTCTCAGTCCACTAACTCATCCATCATTCTCCTGTGGCAGCACCCTCACAGATATACCCACACACAGTGCTTCATCAGGCATCTAAGCATCCCTCAATCAAATTGACAATTAATATTAACCACACAGGCCAATTGGTTAAGAGAGTATATTTTTGTAATTTCCACGTATTTATTACTTTTCCTTTTTCCTTCTGCTATGAATTTGTAATTTCATTTAATGTGGTCAGAAAAGATATTTGGTATGAGTTCAGTTTTCTTAATTTTTTAAAAACTTGTTTGTGGACTAGCATGCCATCTATCCTGGAAAATCTTGGTATGTACTTGAGAAGAAAGCATATTTTGCCATTATTGGGTGAAGTGTTCTGTATATGTCAGACAGGTCCAATTGGTCTACAATGTTGCTCAAGTTCTGTGTTTTCCAGTTGATCTGTCTGGTTATTGTATCCATAATTGAAAGTGGAATATTGAAGTTTTCTGTTATTATGATGTTGTTATCTATGTTACCCCTCAATTCTGTCTATGTTAGCTTCATATATTTAGATGCTGCACTGTTAGTTGCATATACATTTATAATTGCTATATCTTCTTGGTCAATTGGCCCTTTTATTATTATGTAATATCCTTGTCTCTTGTGCTATTATTTGACTTAAACTCTATTTTGTCTAAGTATGGCCATCCTTGTTCTCTTTTGGTTACCAAATGCATTGAATATCTTTTTCCATCCTTTCACTTTCAACCTTTGTGTGTGTTTAGATCTAACATAAGTCTCTTGCATATAGTATATGTTTAGATTTTTTTAATCCATTCGGGCAATTCTCTGTCTTTTGATTGGAAAATTAGCCTATTTGCATTTAAAGTAGTTACTGATAGAGAGGGGCTTACTATTGTCATTTTGTTCATTGTTTTATACATGTCTTGCAGGTATTTTTTTCCACTTTTCCTCTCTTTCTGCCTCCCTTTATGTTTCACTGATTTCTTTTTTTGGTAGGGATGTGCTTTGGTTCCTTTCTCATTTTTATTTGTGTATCTTCTGTAGGTCTTTTCTTTGTGGTTACTGTAGAATTACATGAAAACATCTTATAGTTATAATAATCTATTTTAAATTGACAACAACTTAAGTTTAATCACATACAAAAACTCTACTTATTTACACCTCCTTCTCACTTTGTTATCAATGTCACAAAATATATATTTTATATTGTTTATTCACATAATTTAATACAGTAATATTATGCTTTTACCTTTTAAATTCTATGCTTCAATTAAAAGTGAATTACAGGCTAGGTGTTGTGTCTCACACCTGTAGTCCCAGCACTTTGAGAGGCCAAAATGGGAGGATCGCTTGAGCCTAGGAGTTTGAGACCAGCAAGGCCTTATCTCTGCTAAAAATTTAAAAATATTATCTGAGTGTGGTGGTGCATGTCTGTAGTCCCAGCCACTCGGGAGGCTGAGGTGGGAGGATAGCTTTAGCCCATGACTGCAAGGCTGCAGTGAGCCATGATCAAACCACTGCACTCCAGCCTGGGCAACAGAGCAAGACTTTGTCTCAAAAAAAAAAAGTAAAGGAAAAAAAGTGTTTTGCTTACCACCATTAGAGTATTAAAGGATTCTATGTTCACTCATATATTTACCTTTACCAAAGAAGTTTATATTTTATATGTTTTTGTATTTCTATCCAATGCCTTTTCATTTCCACTTGGAGGACTCCCTTTAACATTTTTTGTAAGGTAGGTCTAGTGGTGATCAACTCCCTCACCTTTTACTTCTCTGGGGAACTCTTTGTTTGTCCTTCACTTTTGAAGTAGAGTTTTACTGGCTATACAGTTCTTGGTTGACAGTTTTTTTTTTCTTTCAGCCCTTTTAATATACCACCCCATTCTCTTCTGGCCTGTAGAGTTTTTGCTGAGAATTCCATTGATTACCATATGGCATCTCCCTTGTATGTGACAAGTTGCTTTGATCCTGTTCCTTTCAAAATTCTCTCTTTGTCTTTGACTTTTGACAGTTTGATTGTAATGTGTCTCATTGTAGGTCTTTTGCAAATTATCCAACTTGGAGTTCTTTGAGCCTCTTGGATTTGTATGTCCATTTCCTTCTTTAAGTTTGAGAAGTTTTTGGTCATTATTTTTTTAACTGGCTCTCTGCCGCTTTATTTTTCTCTTCTCCTTCTGGCACTTTCATAATGCATACATTGGTCTGCTTGATGGCATCCTGTAAGTCTCTTAGGCTGTCTTCACTCTTCACTCCTTTTCCCTTTTGCTCCTCTGACTCTATAATTTCAGATGACTAGTCTTCCGTTTCACTGATTCTTTCTTCTGCTTGATGTTATTGAAACTGCCTTTGCAAAAATTATAACTGAAGAAATTATGACAGCAAAAGACATCAGACTTAATCAACTCCATCTCGCTTCTAGCATTTAAACTGTCCTTGTTCATTCCTGGCAGTAGGATGAACTAATTTTGGGAAGGTATTCAGTTCATGGTTTGACTCTGAAACAAAGTTGATAATAACCATTTCCCAAAAAGATCCCCTTCTTGCCTGGAACCAGTCTGCCTTTGCAGGATAAACACATTAGCTATAACATTAGAAATTACAGTTGAGGGGTTATGCAGCCTCTGGCTCCAAGAGTCTAAACCTCTCCAAATTGCTCCTGGGGATAACATCACTATTGTAAAACCTAAAATCAGTGCTTGAGATATTTTGCAGACCCTGCACTGGATGAATCAGCTGACACCACCCAGACTGGTAATATGGCTCAACTAGTTCTGCCACCCCACCCACAAACAGAAGACAGCAAGAAAACATCACTTCAACCCCGTCTGATTTCATCTCCAACCTGATGAATAAGCAGTCCCCACTTCCCAAGCCCCTACCTGCCAAATTATCTTTAAAAGTTCTGATCCCCGAATGCTCAGGGAGACTGATTTGAGTAGTAATAAAATTCTGATCTCCCGCACAGCCAGCTCTGCCTGAATTACTCTTTCTCCATTGCAATTCCCCTGTCTTGATAAATCAGCTCTGTCTAAGCAGGACACGAGGTGAACCCATTGGGCAGTTACACAGTCTATTGGTGATTTCCGATAGTGAATTTTTCAATTGAGCTATTGTATTCCTTAGCTCCAGATTTTCTGTATGATTCCTTTTTTTTTTTTTAGTTTCTATCTCTGTTAATATTTTCATTTTGTTCATGAATTATTTCCTGCTTTCACTTAGTTGTCTATTTCTGTTGTCACTGGGCTTCATTAAGAGAGTTAATTTGGATTCTTTGTCAGGTAACTGATTTATCTATTTCTTTAGGGTTGGTTTCTGGAGATTTATTTTGCTCCTTTAATTTAGTCATCAGATTTCTCTGTTTCTTCTTATGTCTTGTTATTTTTTATTTTTTATTTATTTTTGCCAAGATTTGGGCGTTTGAAAAAACTGCCACTTCTCCCAGTTTTTATCAGCTGGCTTCATACGGAAGAACTTCATACCTGAATCAGCATGGCTATAGGTTCCAGCAGCCTCTCAAACTTTTTCTGGGAATGCATCTTCTTTGGGTTTATACATTGCAATATCCCAAGTAGAGGTTTGCCAGTTTCTTTTTCTGGAGCTGTTGCTCCCTCTGGTATCTGTCTGTGGTACTGCAGGTTCCCTGGTGCTGCATCATCTCTGACCTCTCCTTTATTCCCAGTGGCTCCCATGCATCCAAGGTATGCCAGTTGGGCGTCAAGTTAGAGAGAGAGAGAGAGCTTCAGGTAACCTCATAAAACTATTCCGTTCCAGTCTTCTCTTTCCCTGCTAACGGAGAAGCTGCAAGTTGAGTGCTTCCCAGCCAAACCAACCTGTTCGAGCTTGGGGAAGGGGTATCATGAGTATAATGCAACAGCTTTTCTTATTTGTTCAATGCCACTATTCTTGGCTTTGCACTTGTCTGTGCTACTACAACTTCTTAATGGTTTATGGAACTCCATAAAGGCTTTTAGACCATATATTGTTTTTCAGTTGCTATCTTTATGGAGAATCAAGGTTTGGAGTCATTCCACCACCTGGCTGACATCACTCTGTTTATATTATTTTTTACTTTTATTATACTTTATTTTCTTGAGACAGGATCTTGCTCTGTCAGCCAGGCTAGAGTGCAGCCTCGAACTCCTGAGCTCAAGGGACCTCCTCCCTCAGGCTACTGAGTACTTGGACTATAGGCACACACCACATACCGGGCTAATTTCTTATTTTCTTGTGAAGATGGGGTTTCACTATGTTGCCCAAGTTGGTATCAACTCTTGGGCTCAAGCAATCCTTCTGCCTTGGCCTCCCAAAGTGCTAGGATTAAAGGTGTGAGCCCACCATGCGCTGCCTGTTATATTTAGTAGAAAATATATCTAAAAATATACTTACGTACTCTATTGAATCCACTACCCAGAGCTTAACTGAACTATTTTTGTGACTCATTCTGTTTTTTTTATTTTTTGCTTTTTACTTATTACAATGAACTACAAGTATGGATATATTAATATTAATTAATATAAAATATACTGGAATCTTTTGTATTTTTTTTCCTTTTTTCTTCACCAAAAGCAGAAACTTAAACATACTGAAATCTTAAATGACCATTGAATGTTTCTAGGACTGACCCTGGAACAAAATTTTTTATGTTGTTATTACATTGTTCTTTTCATGTTTAAATCATTTGTTTCTTTTTCATGTAGTACATCAAAGAAGAATTGTTGATATAGCCCTTACCAGCCATATGCTAAGTGCCACAAGTGTTTCGGTCTCTCTCAATTCTTGTACCTCACTTGGTCTTTTTTTTTTTTCCTTTGGGGGTGTAGCCTCCGTCTTTCACCCAGGCTGGAGT
Organism: Homo sapiens; assembly: GCF_000001405.40. NCBI lineage: Eukaryota > Metazoa > Chordata > Mammalia > Primates > Hominidae > Homo > Homo sapiens. The sequence continues at coordinate 91,894,047 of NC_000002.12, read as the reverse complement.
GGGGTGGCACGATCTCAGCTCACTGCAACCTCTGCCTCCCGGGTTCAAGTGATTCTCCTCCCTCAGCCTCCTGAGAACCTGGGACCACAGTTGTGTGTCACCATGCCCACCTAATTTTTGTATTTTTAGTAGAGATGGGGTTTCATTATGTTGGTCAGGCTGGTCTTGAACTCCTGACCTCAAGTAATCCACCCTCCTCAGCCTCCCAAAGCGCTGGGATTACAGACATGAGCCACTGCACCTGGACTACCTCACTCTGTCTTTTAAATTGGCTATGTAAGGGGAGCATCTTGTGCTTGTTAAGTCTTTGTTTTCTGGCCTATTTATATAATGGACATTTCTGAGTTGTGTGTATATATTAAATTATTTGAGAGTATATATTTAATGTACTAAATAGAGCTAAGTGTTTTCATACATGTCACTATAAAAGGACCATTTGCATATATTTGTTCTATAAAATGCTTACTTTTCTTCATGAACCACCTAGATTTGCTTTTCTGATGTGTAGTGTATGTGAAAATATTTCTTTGTGTTTTTTTTTTATTGTGTGCCCCTACAGGTGGTATGCTTAATAACGCCATAGCCTCTATAGGGAACGTATGTATTAGTCTGCTGGCAGTAATTGTTTTGGGACTTTTTGTTCGATATTTTCCAAGTGAAGACCAGGTAAATACAAAATCTATTTTATAGAAGTATAGTATTAGACATTTTTTTCAAAATATTAAACTTTGGTAAGATCCATGAAATTTAGTACTTAACTCTATTTTTCTAAAACTAGCCTCCAATGCCTACTCTGTATTTAAAACTGAGCACAGCAGTGATTGATACAGGTCAATGGCTTTGATTAAAGTCTCTGCTTCCTGATTTGGCAAATAAGGAATGTCAAAAAATATACTTAATGCAGAGTATCCCTCTGAATTATACTTTCCCTTTCTCTACTAAATTGTCTATTGATGTTTGATAATTTCCCCCAAATTTTCCCTTAAACATTTTAGGGGGAGATAGGTTCCCATTTATTTCTGCATATTTTCTGACTGAAATTCACTCCTGCTATCCTTTGACAAAGGCAACACTCAAACTTAGCCATTTCCTGCCTTAAAGGAAAACATGCCATTACTTTTGTATTTCTGTAATTTCCATCCAAATTTAGCTGTAACATATTGACCAAAGAGATATTCAAATATTTTTTAAGAATTCACTGGATATGTTATATGAAATTGGAGATTTTATGGGTCTCTTTTCTTCTTCACTTAAAGTAACACTTTAACCATTTTACTGATACTAGTATCAGAGATGTGGCAGAAGATGAAACGTTACTAATTGGAAATTTTGTTACTTGGTAGTAAGTCTGCTAAAATGTATGGTGAGAAAGAAAATCAAAATTTTAGACATTTAATATAACATTTAAAGACATAATATCAAAGGGTCAAACATATATAATAGATAATGTCAAATCTTGTATTATATATTTAATATAAACTAATTTCTAAATATCTATCTAATTCTAGAAAAAACTTACATTGAAGAGAGGATTCCTTGTTTTGACTACGTGTGTTTCTGCTGTCTTAGGCAGCCAACATATTGGTTTACATGGATCTGGAGGATTATGCACACTAGTGTTGAGTTTCATTGCAGGGACAAAATGGTCCCAAGAAAAGGTGAATATTTTTAATATGCTATATTTTAAAAGCTAAGACAACTGAATTTTTTACATATATTTAGGAAATCCCCTCATTCTGGTTGGAAAATATTCCAAAAGGTTTGCTATCCTCAAGAAAGTGTATGAATCAATCGAGGAAATAAAATATTTAGGAAAAGCAGCTGGAAATATACTAATATGGAATCAGAAGTTGAGTTAATCACATCAGGCTTCTCTTTTTCCCAAGTTTTATATAATATTATTATATTACTTATATCAATCTAATTATTGTATTCATTGAAATTTTAATTATACAATTAATCCATGAAGAATGTTTGTAAAAGGCCAGGCACAGTGGCTCATGCCTGTAATCCCAGAACTTTGGGAGGTCGAGGTGGACAGATCACCTGGGGTCAGGAGTTTGAGACCAGCGTGGCCAACATGGTGAAACCCCATCTCTACTAAAAATACAAAAATTAGCTGGGCATGGTGGCGTGGTGGTGGGCACCTGTAATTCCAGCCACTCAGGAGGCTGAGGCAGGAGCATTGCTTGAACCCAGGAGGTGGAGGCTGCAGTGAGCCGAGATCATGCCATTGCACTCCAGGCTGGGCAACAAGTGCAAAACTCCATCACACACAAAAAAAATAATAATAAACAAATAAATAATAAAAATAGAAATGCTTGTAAAAGAAAGATTTCTTTATTCCCCACCACTGTCAAATATCTAACCCCCTTACATTTTTTTAAGTAACCAGTATTCTATTTATAGACATTAAGATCGTTTCCACTTTTAGTTATTTACAAACAGTGCTGTCATAAACAGTGTTGTTCATGTCTTTTTTTTTTTTTTTTGAGACACAGTTTCACTCTTGTCACCCAGGCTGGAGTGCGGTAGCATAATCTTGGCTCACTGCAACCTCCACCTCCTGGATTCAAGTGATTCTTCTATTTCAGCCTCCCTAGTAGCTGGGAATACAGGCGCGCACCACCACGCCCAGCAAATTTTTGTATTTTTAGTAGAGACGGGGTTTCACCATGTTGGCCAGGCAGGTCTTGAACTCCTGACCTCAGGTGATACTCTTGCCTCGGCCTCCCAAAGTGTTGGGATTACAGGTTCATCTGTAGGAATAGAGTCCTAGAAATGATTTTTTTTTTTTTTTTGAGACAGAGTCTCTGTCTATGTTGCCCAGGCTGGTCTCAAAATCCTGAGCTCAAGGGATCCTCCCATCTTGACATTGCAAAGTGCTAGGATTACAAGCATGAGCTACCACACCTGGCTGGAAATGATCTGTGTTTTATTTTGATGGACACTGCTAAATTATCCCTTCAAAAATTTTGGTTATTTACACTCTGCCAACAGTGCACAAAAATATCTAATACTTTAACTCATCAACAGCACTTGATATTATCACTAGTTCTATTCTTTTTACTATTAAATGACCTCACCATCCAATTCTTATAGTTTCTTACAATTATGTGATGTTGTTATTCTTTATTTACATTTCTCTGATTAGTAGTATAGTAAGCTTCTCTTCATATATTCTTTTTAAAATACCTATGATCTTCTTTGACCATTTTTATTGGGTTATTTATTTTTTTGTTTCTAATTTATAGTTTCTCTTAGTGTTAGGGCTACTGATCCTTTGTTATGTATATATTGCATATAATTTTTGCTTATCTTCAACTTTGTTTATGGTTTCTGGTGTAGGAAAGTAAAATTTCCTATGACCAAACCTATTGGGTTTTCCTGTTTTGGTTTTGGATTCTGCATCTCATTTAAGAAGGACTTTCTCACTGAAGATTATAACGTATAAACATTACAAAGATATACTATTTTGTGTATTATCATTTAATATTTTGGTAGTTTTTGTTTGTTTAATTTGTTTTTTTATTTAGTCTTTTAATCTATCTGGAATTTATCTTTGTGAATGCTGTGAGGTAAGGTAATAATATATACATATGTGTATCTTACAAACTATATATATATATGTACACACACACATACAGTTTGTAAGTTAACTGAACAGAGATAGAACTACATCATGCCTGATGTGTGTGTGTGTATATATATATATATATACACACATAAATATAAATGCATATTCAGACACACATATATACTTGCATGTGATGAATATGTACATACAGATATATGCACATAAACTAGACAGTCATTTTTTGCCAAATTGTTTATTTATTGACCAATTCATTAATAATTCAGTTTTTTAACATGAACTAAATTCTCCCATATATATTAATTCTGAAGTCTATTTAATCCTACTTCTCTATTTCTATGCCAACACTACTGTTTTAAATCACTGCAGTTTTATGTGTCAAAATCTAATATAGATTATACTTCTTTTTAAAGTATTTTTGGCTGTTCCTACACATATTCTTTCTTAGATAAATTTTAGAATCAGCTTGAGAAGTTCCCTAATCAAAAATCATAGTGGCATTTTGCTTAGTATTCTTATATAATCATAATTATAAAAGAAATGAAATGAATGAAATGCAAATCAATAAATAAAATTAAAACTGCTAGAATTTTTTTAAATGGTAAAAGAAACAGAACTAAAACAAGTTTTAAAGATTAAAAGTAACAAATAGGATAATTATACTGTAAAGAGTAGTAACATCGTTTTTCTTTGTTTTTCTTTTTTTAAACTATAATAAGTGGGGATCAGAAAACACAGTCATAAGGGAAATAGTTATGAAGATAGTTTATGCCTCAAGGAAGAGACATCAAAGTTCTTATGTATCTTCTGTTTAAAAAAAAAAATTAAACCCAGACTGAGACTGAAATCTCTTCATCCAAATTCCTGGAGAAGAGCCAGAGTAATGTAGGCCAATAGGGGACTTTCCTGTAATCTTTTAATTGGGGAAGTAGCACTGGGAGGCATTCATTTCCAGAAAGGGAAGCTGGGTAGGCAGCTAAATGAGAATCTAATATATGTTTTGGTTTTGTTTTAAGGAAAAAGTAACTTTAAAGTATTCAACATGGGTTTTTTGGAAGCAGGCCTAGCAGACTTCCAAATTGTTTTTCCTAGTAGTATACACTATATATATCAGGATTCACTTTAATGGGATTGAGTTCCAGGATGGTTGTTAGTGGAAGGCTTCCCAACCCCCTTCTGAGAACCCAAATGTTTGCATGAACTGGGTATGTTCTCATCAGGCATGATGTAGTTCTATCTCTGTTCAGTTAACTTAGAGACAAAATCTGGAACTCATATGAAACATGGCTAGAACCCTAAGGACATCACTTATTCTGTGACAAAATGGCCAAATAGTATTATTTTATTGCTTTGTGAGTTTCTTTTAATCAAATTCTACCTAAGTGTTTGAGTAAAACTATTGAAGTGTTCAGTTTTTATTAATTAAGTTTAACATTTTTATTAAAATAAAGTATCTTAAATTTATTAACTGTTAAGTGACTTTAGGTCAGGCATGGTGGCTCTTTCTATAATGCCAGTGCTTTGAGAGGCCACAGCCAGAGACCACTTGAAGACAGGAGTTCTAGACCATCCTGGGCAATATAGCGAGACCCCATCTCTATAAACAATTTAAAAATTAGCCCAGCATGGTGGTACACACCTGTAGTTCTACTTGGGAGACTGCGAGAGGATTACTTGAGCCCAGGAGTTCAAGGCTACAGTGAGCTAAGATTATGCCACTACACTCCAGCCTGGGCAACAGAGCAAGACCGCATCTCTAAAATACTTAAAAAGTGAAAAAAAAAAGGTGAGGGAGACTTTAACTTTCTGAAATTTATTTATGTGCCAAAATAATTATAAATGTATTTCTCTTTTCTATAGATGAAAGTCCGAAAGATTATTACAAATGTATGGGATATTTTTCAACCACTTCTTTTTGGTTTAGTTGGAGCAGAAGTATCTGTTTCACTGCTTGAATCAAATATTGTTGGTAAGAATAATTAGAGCACAAAAAATATGAAATTCAAAAATATTTAAGAAAATTATAAATACATTTATTTTTATTTACAATATATCTTTGAATGGCTACAAGGACCTTCTTCAGAAACACATGTTGATACACTGTCATATTTTCCTATTGCTCTTCCTTTACACTGTGTGCTCTTTTTTTTTAAACCAAGGACAGCCCTGAATATCTTCCCTGAGTTTTCTAAGGAAATAAATATAAGATTTCTTTCCTGAGGGAACATATTTGATATGATCAGCACTTTTTGAGTACTTTCATTTAAAACTATTGGCTGGGTGTGGTGGCTCATGCCTGTAATCTTAGCACTCTGGGAGGCCGAAGCGGGCGGATTTCTTAAAGTTAGGAGTTCAAGACCTGCCTAGCTAACATGGGGAACCCCATCTCTCCTAGAAATACAAAAATTAGCCAGGTGTGGTAGTGCGCACCTGTAATCCCAGCTACTCAGGAGGCTGAGGCAGGAGAATCACGTGAACCCGGGAGTTGGAAGTTGCAGTGAGCTGAGATTGTACCACTGCACTCCAGCCTGGGTGACAGAGCAAGAATCCTTCTCAAAAAGTAAATTATTATTAATAATAATAAAAGTATTCAAAAAAAGTCTATTAGTTCAGAATTGTATAAATGTCATCTGTCTTATTTTTCATGGTACCTCCACCGTCAGATACTGTCTTGCATTTTACAGAGAATCCTCCATCATATTCATTTTTATTATCATTGTTTTATGTAAAAATTAAACACATGAAGAGACAATAGCCTTAAAATGCTTTTAAAAGTTTTAGAAATCATATTCCTGGGCATAAAGAACACTTCTTCACAAATATTTTGTTATTTATGTTTGTTTTCATCTGTTGTAGGCATATCTGTTGCCACTCTGAGTTTGGCATTATGTGTTCGAATTTTAACCACATATCTATTGATGTGCTTTGCTGGTTTTAGTTTTAAGGAGAAAATATTTATTGCTTTAGCATGGATGCCCAAATATGTACAGGTAAGAACATATTAAGCCTATTGCTTAATGCTTTCGTTTTGATGCTTTTAAAATTTAAAATGAAAAATGTTACTCCAATCACAAAATATGAGCTATTATCCTTACTTTTTAAATGTTTGATTGATCATAACTATTCATTAAAATTAACGTAACCAGTCCCAGCTACTCAGGAGGCTGAGACGGGAGAATTGCTTGAACCCAGGAGGCGGAGGTCACAATAAGCTGAGATGGCACCACTGTACTCCAGTCTGGGAGACAGAGCAAGACTCAATCTCAAAAAAATAAATAAGTAAACAAAAACAAACAAAGAAACTCAATGTAACCTTTTTCTATTTTTATTTTCATTTTGGGACCAGGTCTCACTCTGTCACCCAAACTGGAGTGCAGTGGCATGATCATGGCTCACTGCAGCCTCAACCACCTGGGCTCAAACAATCCTCTCACATCAGCCTCCTGAGTAGCTAGGATCACAGTCACCTGCCACCACACCCAACTGCTTTTTTTTCAGATTTTTTTTTTTTTTTGAGACAGTCTTACTCTGTTGCCCAGGCTGGAGTGCAGTGGCATGATCTCAGGTCAATGCAACCTCCACCTCCCAGGTTCAAGCGATTCTCCTGCCTCGGCCTCCTCAGTAGCTGGGATTACAGGTGCACACCACCATACCCAGCTAATTTTTTTATTTTTTGTGGATATGGGGTCTCACCATGTTGGCCAGGCTAGTCTCAAACTCCTGACCTCAAGTGATCCGCCTGCCTCAGCCTCCCAAAGTGCTGGGATTACAGGCATGAGCCACAGTGCCTGGTCTTTTCTTTATGATTTTTTTGTAAAGAGGAGGTCTTGCTATGTTGCCCGGGCTGATCTTGAACTCCTAGGTTCAAGTGACCTTCCTGTCTCAGCCTCCTAAAGTTCTGAGATTACAGGCATAACCCACTGGGCCCAGCCAACGTAACCTTTTGAAATCTCAGTTTTAAAAGCAATTATTTTGAAATCAAAAAGTATTCTTTCAATAAGTACTTCCTAAGTTTATGAAAATATGTTTTTTATTTTCCTAAAATATATAATAAGAATATATCTGAAAATTGGAGTTTTTATATTTTGCTGAATATAACAAAGCTAAATGTTACAATTTTAAAAAGTAGAGACACAGGCCAGGCATTGTGGCTCATGCCTGTAATCCTAGCACTTCAGGAGGCTGAGGCAGGCAGATCACTTGAGCTCAGGAGTTCAAGACCAGCCTGGGCAACATGGTAATACCCCCGTCTCTACAAAAAATACAAAAAAATTAGTCAGATGTGGTGACACGCATCTGTAGTCACATCTACTGGGGGGCTGAGGGAGGAGGATTGCTTGAACTTGGGAGGTTGAGGCTGCAGTGAGCTGAGGTCACGCCACATCACTCCAGCTTGGGTGACAAAGTGAGACCCTGTCACAAAAAAAAGTAAAGTAAAATAGAGAAACATTGATTTTTTAAAAAATACTTTTCCTACCTTTCCACTCACTCCATCACACAAATGCACATATATTTTTTTAATTACACATTTATTTGTATACTATTTGGTTAATGGCTAAATCCCTGCCCCCGCCCCTTTGATAGACTATGTAAGGACAGGGACAGTGTCTGGTTGTTGCAGTTGTTTTTCATTATTTCTCCCTGGCACTTAACACAGTGCCTGACATGCAGGAGGCAAATACGTATTGCATGCCTGCAAGGATGAATGAACGGAAAGGGAAACCTTGTAATTTTGCCCTGTTATTCAAGGAGATTCTCCTCCTACTAAAATATATTGCTACTTCTTGTCAGACTGTTTAACTTGGCAGCATAATATAGCTTAATTTCCTGTGGCTCTTTTCTTAGTTGTTATTCCAAAACAGAAGCTCCTAAATTTTCATGCAAAAAAACCTCTATTATGTTAGAAAAGCAGGCTCAGAGGGCCAGACTACCTGTTTTGAATACCATGTTACTTGCCTATAACCTCAGGAAAATTATTTTCTAGTCTCTCAGTCCTTCAGTGTTCTCATCTTACAATGAAGTCTATGACTGTATCTGTTTCTTAGCAGTGTTGTCAGGATTCAATGAGATAATCCACGTAAAGTGCTTAACACTCTCTCTGGCATATGGTGGTGCTCAGTTAACAAACAATGTTGTTATTTTATCTTACCTTCAAGTAATATAAATAATAACTTTTTATTTTTAATGTCTACTGTAGGGAATAATAAATCTACAAAAGGAGTAACTGTTCTCTCTCCTTCCAACAATACTCTTGCAATTTTGTTTCATTATTTCATAATTTTCATAAAGCAGGGAAAAAAGAAAAGCAGGTAGGAGGAAAGAGACCACTCACTCGAGTCCTGCAGTATTATTCTGCTTCTGCCTATTCCTGTCTGCTGGCTCCAGGCTAGCTTCTACACAAAGAATATCAAGCTGGTTCCAGGAACTGGCAAGACATAAAAAATTAATTAGTTATACAAGTAGAGTCACAACAGCAATAATAGATAACAATAATGTCACAAGTAAATACGATCAACAAATATTTAAATTTCAATTTTAAATTATTTTCACCTTTATCCTCTTCTGCCGTTCTCTGCTGCTAAAATAAAATTGGCTAAGGTTCAGCTTTCTCTTATTCCTTAGTTTTGAGTTACTGATAAAAATTAGACTGGAAAAATAGAAGCTATTAGGAGAGTAAATAAATAATTTAGTTTACAAATGTAAGATCAGCTTGGCAATTGGATTTTTTTAAAGAAATAATATTAAATCTCAGTCACTAGGAGGAAATCATTTATCATCTAATAAAAGTCCTCACATAATAAGGTTGTCATAAAAATTAAATGAATTGATAAATGGAAAGCTTTAAGAATGATACCTGACATATGATGAATGCCATATAACTATAAAAATATTATTTCTAGTTTCACCATTATCGTCATCATCTCCTAAAAGTCAATGGGTTTGGTTTTTGTTTTTTTTTTTTTCTGTTGGCAGTTCTTTTATGTTCAAATCCTCTTCTAAACTGTAAGATTCTTTCAAGGTGGTTTTCTGCATGATTATTTTTTTCTCCCTAGCATCCTCCAGCACACTGGATCATGTTCAGTACATTAAAAGTTATGATATAAAAATAATACCATTTTAAATTATTGATTTAGGATATAGAAATTGATCTTAAATTGAGGGGTTCTTTTGCCATAATGTTCCATATCAAAGGTAATGTTTAATGTTGTTACTTTGCAACTCCATAGAAAATATGTTATATATTGGTATTTAATTCCCCCAAATTTTAAGGCAATTTCATGCCTAGTTATTAAACACAAGGAAAGAGAGTTAGCAAGAAATTTGCTTTATGTTATTAAAAATAATGTGGTAGAAGGTAACTAGGGAAAAAAACTTGTGACCCAGTAGAGTCATTCTAAAACAAAAACTTCAAAGGAACTCATTCTCTGACCTGGCAGGGGATGAGGAGTGAAGGAGAAAGAAACTTACTACTATCTGAATACCTACTCTGTGCCAGGTATTCTTCACATTCTCATATTTAATTTTCACAACCGTCCAGTAAGAGAAGTATTTTGTTCTTCATTTTACACGTAAGTAAGTAGAAGGTTAGAGAGTGTGAGTCATTTGTACAAGGTCACTAGCCTGGTTGCAGCAAAAATAGAATTCAAACCCAGTTTGCTAGATTCCAAGCCTGCTGTCAGTTCTGCTATAACCCAGTGCCCCCTGAATAAGGAGAACAATGAGAAGAAGGGCAACAAATCCTAGAGAACCATAAGAAAACTTAATATTTTATTATGTCTTCTTGTAGTCAAAAACCACTGGTACACGATAAAGGCAACTAAGCAAAACCGGTTTCCTTAGAACTCCTGGTGTTATGAGGGCAACACTCAAAAGAGATATTTGAATAGAGGAACACTGAGAGGACAAGAGTGCAAAATCAGCCCAAAAATGTTTGCATGCTGATTTGTCACTATTGTACTCTTCCTCCACATATATTTTCTAGGAAGAACATGGAACTGATGAGTAACTTATGAAAATTACTGAGTACTTTTTTTCTAATAGTCTAGTACTAGATTTTGTTTATTTTAACAGAGCCATTTACATTATATATTAACTCAGTTTAATATTTTTCTTTATGCCCCATTTTTACCCCTAATTGTAGACTGTGTTAGGTCCTCTGGCTCTAGAAACAGCAAGAGTCTCCACACCCCACTTGGAACCATATGCGAAGGATGAGATGACAGTAGCATTTTTAGCCATCTCGATCGCAGCTCCAAATGGAGCTCTACTTATGGGCATTCTGGGGCCTAAAATGCTTACACACCATTATGATCCAAGTAAAATAAAACTGCAATTGTCAACATTAGAACATCATTAAAAAGTTTACCTGTCATCATCTGCCTGCTTCTTTTAATGAATTATTTCACATGACAGAAGAATTTTAAAGTAGAAATATGTAGGGACTGTACAGAAAATCCAGGATTTAGTAAACATGTGATTTCAGTACAGGGCTTTTCTTGGACATTTTACTCCAAAGTTAATTTAATAAAAATAATAATTAAATGGAATGCTCTCTTGGTATTTACATACTGTAAGAACAAATTAAATCTGTAAATCCCTAGGAAAGTTTAAAATAATCCCTCAGGCTGAATTTGATATCATAATACAAACTGAGCTTAATATAAAATTAAACAAATTTAATGGCAGAAAGAAAAACTTTGAATATTGAACTTGGTAAGATAGCCTAAGTTTCCAAATAGGAGGAGTAGAACTCCCCATGATGTCCAGTAATTCAGTTAAAACGATCACTACAAAAAAAAAAGGAGTAAAACACATCAACTTTAAATGGGTTAACTGAATAGATTTTAAATTCTGGTTTTGGTGACTACCTGAATAAATAATATGTTAAGTAATAGAACCAAGTTAGTCTTTCCTTATTTCTGCCATGCCCTTAAAATGAAAGTCTGGTTTAGCAGTTTTTAGATGAAACACTATCTATATTTTTATTTATAGAAATAAAATTAAATCACAAATGGAAGTAAACTATATTTTTTTCAATTAGTATTTTTAAATCTAGGCATAAAAGGCAGCCTCCAAAAATGAAAGATTTGGAGACTACTGTCATGTGGCAGTTTCTTCTCCTTAGTAATATAGAATTACCTTTTAATTCTGGCTGATTAAATCTGCCATGTTAATGTAGAACCCATCACAAGCAAAGTGAGTTTTAATTAACTTCAAGACTCTTTATTTTAAAGTTATAAGAGTCATATAAACACTTCTAAAATGGCCTTATTGAATGGCATTTTAGAAATTGTTTAGACTTCTTTGGCAAAAGCTCAATGCAAGGACTGAATATTACTTTCATTCCTCTTTTTCCTCTTATCCACAAGCAAGGTATTAAAATACCACAGAATATGAAATTTACACATAAATTTGCCAAGTGAAGCAATTAAAATTTAAGGCAATCAAAACTATGTGTTATTCCTATTAAGACTAAGGGCTTTTACAGAATATATCACTGAAACTGCCATAAGTTCTAAAACTGTCTGGGAAATAACTTAGAAAATACACTCTGGGAGAATAACTCTGGGAAAAGATAAAATAGTACTGTTTTAGTGACATTTTCTCTTTATAGTTTTACAACAAAGTACAGACTCCATTTTCAAATATTGTAATTCTAGTACTCAAATTCTAAAAATTTAAACTGTGCCAGTGTTTTGACTACTATTTAAATCATGAGGACATCTCATTGTCACTTATAAAAAAATAAAAATATAGGCAGGGTGTTGTGGCTCATGCCTGTAATCCCAGCACTTTGGGAGGCCAATGTGGGCAGATCACAAAGTCAGGAGTTCGAGACCAACCTGACCAACATAGTGAAACCCCGTCTCTACTAAAAATACAAAAATTTGTCAGGTGTGGTGGCATGCACCTGTAATCCCAGCTACTCAGAAGGCTGAGGCAGGAGAATCGCTTGAACCCAGGAGGCAGAGGTTGCAGTGAGCTGAGATCGCACCACTACACTCCAGCCTGGGAGACAGCAAGACTCTGTCTCAAAAAAAAATAATAATAAAATATATGTATATATATATATTTACAAGATAGTATTTTACATTCACAAGAGAATTAGATTTCAAAGTAGAAAGTTTATTTTAATAAAAGAGAGATAAGAAATAATTTTCAAAATGAGGAATTGTGTTTTTGATTAGGAGGAAAATTGTTGTACCTATTCTTTTTATTCTTTATTTATTGAACTTTCTCTAAGTGTCTGTGATATATAATTATTATACTGAAATAGTCGCCGTTTTAAGGTAGTGTGGCAGATGTTGTTATTTATTTGAAATTTTAAGTTTTTTATTTATAAAAAGTTTTTATAAAAATTTATTAATATAATTTAAAAATTACAACCAGTTAACCATGTGTATGATATTAGTGTTTACAGTATTTAAACAAATAAGGCTGGGCACAGTGGCTCACACCATCCCATCACTTTGGGAGGCCAAGGTGGGTGTATCAGGAGGTCAGGAGAAGGAGACCGTCCTGGCTAACATGGTGAAACCCTGTCTGTACTAAAAATACAAAAAACTAGCCAGGCATGGTGGCAGGTGCCTGTAGTCCCGGCTACTCAGGAGGCTGAGGCAGGAGAATCACTTGAACCTGGGAGGCAGAGGTTGCAGTGAGCCAAGATCATGCCACTGTACTCCAGCCTGGGTGACAGAGCGAGACTCCATCTCAAAAAAAATAAAATAAAATAATAAAATAAAATAAAATAAAATAACAAATAAATACAAGATTGTTGTTTCTTATAAACTTTTTTTGTATCTTTGCCTACTTTTTTCACTGTTTAAGGAATTTTTATTAAAGCAAAATTTTATAATCCAAATTACCTTTCCTTGCTCAGTTATCAATTCTGTTACTTAAAACAGAAGTGACATTCTTAGCTATTCCACACTAATGAATTACAAAATTAAAGGAAAGCTTTAAATTTTTATACTTTGCTGAAAATTATTTATCACAGAGTCTGAAAAGCATTACAGTGTTTTTATATTTTATTATTTTGGGAGGATTTTTTCTTTTCAAATCAATAAGTAATCTAGGACTATCATTGCATTTGTTAGATCTGACATTTGCTTGGTATGTAAAGTTCAAAGTTTCCTTTTTAAATTTATTTTATACTTTACAAATTTTTTCCATAGTATTTAAGGTTTTCGATATTGAGATATTTTTCTTCAGTGATGCTCAAGTTTCTTTCTGTGGTCCCTGATCAGTTTTAAACAATTGGAACACCAGTGGCACCATTAACTGCTTTCTGGGCAGCCTCTTTAGCTTGGTGGTCTCGTAGTACAGCTATACCTTTGTCAACCTTAGTATAGAGAGGCTCTGGAGATTCAAGCATATGAAGGAGTTCTAAATTACCAATCTCCAACAACATGCCAATGATTTTAGCAGCACGACTAGGGCATGGCTTCAAGAAGAGGAAACAGCCATTCACTCGTTTCCTTTTGCTTTTGAGGAAGAGCAGATGCCATCATGGAAGTCAAAGGTTCTTGACCTTCTACATGAACAGCAGGCTGCTGCATGGTAACCTGGGGCTGTGCATGAAAATGCCATTGAGGATTGTGAACTTCCATAGCATATTTATACTGTGAAATGGTACAAACAGCAGGAGTATCTGTAGTAGCAGTAGCGGCAACTGCAGAATGTGCTCCTATTGTCTCTGTCGATGTGTTACAACAGCTGTGTTGACATGACTCGTGGAAGCTGTGAAGAAGCTGGTCTCTTACTACTAAATGTAGTGAGCTAGGAGTGGCTTGGGCATATTTTTCAATGGATGAGGTCTGGCACCCTGAGCAATTTAGGGAGGATTTGATCTTAGTTGAGCAGTTTGGCTAGGAGAATACTTTGCAGCATGGCTCTCAGTCTGTGGGATAACTGCCATGAAGTCAATTGAAGAAGGTGCTGGCTGATAGGGACTGATTCCCAGGTTGAGCATAGTTTTTACACTTGCCATTCTTTGCACATACTGTACTGGTTAATGAGCTGAGCCTGGTGCTCTTCATTGCTTTTCTTCCCATGGAGTTAACACTATATACAATGGCTCAGTGCCCACAATTCTACCATTCATTTCTGAAAGTGCTTTAGTTGTTTCCCCTGGAGAGGAGAAACATACACAAATCAAACCCTTTGTTGTGACAACCATCCTTCATAACCTTTGCATTGGTGATTGTACCAAGTGGAGAAAGTTCTTTCCAGAGACATTCATCAATACCATCAAGATTTTTTGCATAAATGTTAACACTTTGTTATCTGGTGATCCTATACTGCTTGATCTTTTCAAATTTGCACACAAGTTCCATCTGCCATTCTACTTCTTTCTGAGCTTGACCAACATCAATTTGTTTTCCATTGAGCTTCTTTCTGTTCATCTCATCTGTGCATCTTTATGCCTTTCAAAGCTGACAAATCCAAAACCTTTGGGTTTTCCACTTTCATTAACCACTACTATCACACTTAAGACACATCCCAACTTGCCAAAGAGATCTTTAAGACACCTACCATCCATGTCTTCTCCAAAAATCTTCCTGTAAACATTGGTGAACTTTTTAACTCTGAGTTCTGCCTCTCATTGTTTACAAGACTTAATCCAACAAAGACTTTGCTATCATTTAGAAGCACCCATTTCATTTTTGAATAGATCTTTCAGCTGCTTCTGTGTGTCAAAATGTACAATGTCATCACCCTTGAAACCGTTTTCACCACAAAGCACCTAATGTGAAAGTGATAGAGACAGGAGGCAGCCAAGGGTCCCCTGGTAAAACCCCACCTTCAAGACTAAAACAGCCTGAAGGCTGATAAACTGGACTGCAGGTCCTGGTTGAAGCCGCCCTTTCCTCACTGATTCTGAATAATGCCCACCTGCGCACTGGGATTACGGGGTGGAGCTGCGGGAAGTTTGTGCAGTGTGCAGTGGAGAGGAGTCTGGCCTGTTCCCATGTAGTGACCTAGGATTTAATTTATGAGGTGGGAAACCCGCTAGCAGGACTTTTTCTCTCTTTGCTGAGAGTTATTTTTCCTTTTTCCTTTCCACCCAATAAACTCCGTTCCCCCTCACCCTTCAAGTGTTTGCGTGCCTTTTCCTGGTGGTATGACAAAACCTGTTTTTTTCTGGAACAAAAAGATGTTACCAAAAGCAGATGTATCATGCAATGCTTTATAATCAATAGATTTGTCCAATTTTTTTATGAACATGTTGCCCACTCCATTTTTGCGGAGTGATGGATCACACCGAGACCACTTAGTGTGTATTGGCTAGTCTTCTATAACATCAAAATTCATGGGGTCTTATGCACATTCCACATCCTGCGTTTCCCAAGGAGCGCCGGTGATCTGGTTCCTGTAGCCCGGGATAGAGAGGACCGGCCAGCAGGCCTGGTCACGTGCGGTGCGAGGACAGGGGATGGCTGGGACGCTGGGCTCACCTCTGCACCTGTCTGCCGGTAGGGCCACAGGCTGCGACCTTTCTGTGAAAGGAGAGTAAGGGCTGGGGAGGAAGCCTTGGCCAGCGCAGAGAGATAAAATCACCTGGAATCCGAAGAACTGCGGCCCGCAGCGGGCTGGGACGAGGGTGGCGTGTAGGGTCCAGCGTCCAGGCCTCGGGATCCTGTTCCTTCTTGAAGCTTTTTCGGAGCTGCGAGGGGGCGGGTGGGTCGCTCTCGGCTGCCTCACCGGGTAATCTTATACAAGAAGAAAAGGAAAATATCTCTGGCAGTGAAGACAAGGATTTTTTTGTAAAGTGTTTTGCAGGGGTGACGGGTGTTAAAACAGAAACCTTTTTTTTTTTTTAAGTTTTTTTCATGGGATTTTTTTCGGGGGAATGGATTTTTCAAGATAATAAATATGTGCTGATCCTGGAGAACATACTCCACACTCTCAGCACTAACCACTTGGGAGAAGGGACCCATTAATGTTTAATTGTACCTTTTCTTGTGGCCCCGTTTTTTCCCTTTTAATTATGAAACATTGGAGCCTACAGAAAGGTAGAAAAAATGGGCACCCACATAACCACCACCTAAATCCAATTAATTGTTAATATTTTTTCAAGTTTTCTTTATGTAATTTTTCAATTTGAATTAAAAGTAAATTATAGGCATCATGCTAATTTGCCTCTGTATACTTAAGCCTGCATATTCAAAAACTAAAGCCATTTTCTTGCATAACCACAATTCCCTTATCCTTTCACACCAAGTTATCAGTAATTCCTTACAATTATTCAACTCCCAAATATTTTCAAATATAAGCAGTCATGCCCCATTTAACACATTTCAGTCAACTAGTCGACCATCTAAACTGTGGTGGTCTCATAAGATTAAACTGGAACATATATAGAAACCTGATAAGCAGTATATGGCCCTTGATATTGGCATTGCAGCTCAAGTAGAGGAAATGACTGATGCTCAGTAGTGGTGCTGGAACATTTGATTTTCCTTATAAAAAATAAATAAGTGAAAATATATAGGGCCGGATGTAGTGGTTCATGCCTGTAATCCCAGCGCTTTGGGAGGCCAAGGTGGGCAGATCATCTGAGGTCAGGAGTTTGAGACCAGCCTGGCCAACATGGTGAAACCCCGTCTCTACTGAAAATATAACTAGCCTGGTGCAGTGGCAGGTGCCTGTAATCCCAGCTACTCAGGAGGCCGAGGCACGAGAATTGCTTGAACCTGGGAGGCTGAGGTTTCAGTGAGCTGAGATCGCACCAGCACTCCAGCCTGGGTGACACAGTAAGACTCTGTCTCAAAAATATACATATATATACCATCTAGGTTTGCATAATTACACCCTATGATTCACATTTTCTTAATTGTTTCTCAATTATAGCAATTTTTAAAAGCCAGGATCCAATCGAGAACTGGACACTACATTTTGTTTTTGTCTCTTATTTTGTAATCCAGTACATTTCTCCATACTTAATCCCTTGCTAAATGGCATAGACTCTTTTTTTTTTTTTTTTTTTTTTTTTGTTGAGACGGAGTCTTGCTTTGTCACCGGGCTGGAGTGCAGTGGCGTGATCTTGGCTCACTGCAACCTCTGCCTCCTGGGTTCAAGAGATACTCTTGACTCACCCTCCTGAGTAGCTGGGATTACAGGCGCCTGCCACCACGGCCGGATAATTTTTTGTATTTTTACTAGAGACAGGGTTTCACCATGTTAGCCAGGATGGTCTCGATTTCCTGACCTCATGATCCACCCTCCTCAGCCTCCCAAAATGCTGGGATTACAGGTGCGAGCCACCGTGCCCAGCCGGTATTGACATTTTAAAGGAACCATGCTAGTTGTCACGTAGAATATCTCACATTCTGGATTTGTGGGACTGTTCATGGTTTCATTTAGTTTGTTTGTCTATCCCTTCTATTTTCTGAAATTTGAAGTTAAATTTAAAGACTTGGTTACATTCAGGTTAAACTTTTTTGGCCAGAATCATTCAAAGTTGATGTCGTATACTTCCAATAGCGGCACATTACGAAGTTTATGTCTGGTTGTCCCACTGCCAGTGATGCTAATTTTCATTCCTAAATTAAGGTAATGATTGCCAGATATCTGTATCATAATGGTATATTTTCCTCTGTAATTAGCCAGTGATCTCTGAGGTTATACCTTGGTACTACATGAATATTCATTCTTCATCAAATTTCTCAAAATTAGTAGACTTTGTTTTTTAGAGCAATTTTAGGTTTACAGAAACCAATGAGCAGAACGTACACAGAGTTCCCATGTAACACTACCTTCCTATCCCACTCTCCACCCAATCCCTACCTCTGTACACAATTTCCCCTATTATTAACACCATGTATTAATATGGTATATTGGTTACAATTGATACATATTGATACATTACTATAACTGAAGCCCATAGTTTACATTAGCGTTCACTCTTTGTGTTGTAAAGTTCTGTGAATTTTTACAACTGTATAATGACAGATATCCACCAGTATCATACAGAATAGTTTCATCAGCATAAAAATCTTCTGTGTTCCACCTATGTATCCCTCTCTTACTTTCCTCAAATTGCTGAAAACCACTGATGTTTCTACATTATAGTATTGCCTTTTCCAGATTGTCATACACTTAGAACCATACAATATATAGCCTTCTCATGCTGGCTTCTTTTACTTAGCAATATACATTTAAGTCTTCTCCATGTCTTAGCTTAATATCTGATATCTTTTTAGTGCTGTATAATATTCTCTTGTCTGGATGTACTACAGTTTGCATAGCCATTAACCTACTGAAGGATATCTTGGTTGCTTCCAAGTTTTGGCAGTTATGAATACAACTGTTATAAACAGCCATGCACAGGTTTTTAAGGTTTTAACAAACTCTCCCTGGCAGTTCCTGTTTTTCCTCACTTTTCAAGCCCATGGGCTATCTCCCAGTGCTGTTCATTTTAATATTCTGCAGACTACTTAAGCATTACAGAATATAGAAGCTGGAAGATACTTGGCAGTCATTTAGTCCCTCATGTTCCAGATGAGAAAACTGAAGCCCAGATACCTTATTATTTGTTCAGTCCCCCAATCTGAGTGTCAAATCCACCTCTCCCAGTTGTTTTCTGTTCAAATAACCCTGTGAACTTCAGTGACCCTCACTGACCACATCATCATTATTCACCAATAGTTCCCCAATAGATCCGCTCTACATTAGCTCATTTCAAATGTTCTTTTCCTTTCATGTACATACCATACAGTACTTAAAATTCTGTTGACAACAATAAATATGAATTCAAATTAAGTTCTTGCCCCAAGGATGTGACTTCTACTACACAGTTCCTTTTGGCCTGAGGGCAATTCCTAGGGCATGAACTTAGTCATGTGCCCTCAACAGACAGCACTCTAAGGAAGCTGGGGAATGAGGGTCTCCATTCTGCAGGGAGGCCTGGACTACACAGCACAGAAGACACTACTCTGTCCATCCCTCATGTCATTTGGATCCATGACTTCATATAACTTCTCTCCATCTAGGAATAGCTCCTCCAGGATTTTGGTTGGTTTCTTTTGCTGGGGAAACGTGAAAGTAACATTCATGGAGGGAACAATAGCTCCTTGGCTCTTCAACTGGTCTTTCACCCTAAATTGATCATCTGCCTTTCCTGCTATACAGGTACTATCAGGTTTACATTCTTACCCTCAGCTAGCACCTCCACTGGTCTAGGTCACTTACCTGGTGATAGGAGAGGGGGGTGTAGTAGCCATGGCTACTAGACTTGTCCTTTTAAATTGAGCAATCAAAATTTAGTAAGGGACTACTTAAACATCCCTTGGCTGCCAAACACATTCCTGGCTACTTCCGTTGTGTAACAGCATTGAATTGCAGAGATAAGAAGCAGAAATTTCCCAAGTGAATCCCTGGGGGTGATGGTAAATAGTGCTACTCTTTCTTCAATCCATGATCCTCTTTCTATTAGCGACAAGGGACCATATAATGGTTACTGATCTAGGATATATGCTTGTATCCCATCCCTGCAGCTTCAAAGGGCTACTGGAGGCTGTTCCATCACTCCGTCAGTTTGACAGCTTCTAGTTGTTGTGATTTCATGATTTGTAATAGGATCACTGAATTGCATTTTCATGTGTCCACCACTGCAACTACAGTGCTACAAAGTACATTCCCTTTATACAGTGCTATAAAGTACAATGCAAGGATGTGTAGGATTCCATATTGGAGGATTAAACATTCTGTCAACACTTGGATAGTGGTGCTGGTTGAGGCCATGTAAGTAGGAAAGATAAATCCGTACTCAGAATAAGTATCAGTTCCAGCCAAGATGAATCATTACCCTTCCTGTGATGGAAAGCATCCAGTGCATTCAGCTTGCCACCAGGTGACTACTTGGTGTCCTTGAGGGATGATGCTATCTTGAGGCCTCAGTGTTACTCTGTCTTGATGACAACTTTGACATTCAGAAGCAGCAGTAGCTAGATAAGACTTAGTCAGTGGAGACTTCTGCTGTTTGGGCCTCTGCATAGCCTCCATCCTTGTCACTATATTTATTCACCAATTGTGCCAGTACTGAGCTGGCCAATGGAAGAGGTTGGCTAACATCATCTGGCTGAGTCGCTTTTCTCTTTGGTTGTTGATAGATACCTCTTGTAGGTGTTAACATGTGAAACAAAGATCTTCATACTTTTTGTACATCCCCATAAGTCCACCCATATGCCCTTTTCTCAGATGTCTTTTTCTCCAGTCTTCCAAATTTTCTCCTTCCATCCCCCTGACCTGTAGCCAAGCCATTTGACCATGTGTCAGTACATACTTACTTTGAGTCTCTTCTCTTTTCATGCAAAGTGAATGACAAGGTGCATAGTGCAAAGTTCTGCCAACTGAAATTTTTTTTAAATTTTTTTATTTTTTGAGACAGAGTCTTGCTCTGTCACCAGGCTGGAGTACAGTGGCGTGATCTCGGCTCACTATAAGCTCTACCTCCTGGGTTCATGCCATTCTCCTGGCTCAGCCTCCCGAGTAGCTGGGACTACAGGAGCCCACCACCACACCCGGCTAATTTTTTTTGTATTTTTTTAGTAGAGATGGGGTTTCACCATGTTAGCCAGAATGGTCTCGATCTCCTGACCTCATGATCCACCGCCTTGGCCTCCCAAAGTGCTGAGATTACAGGTGTGAGCCACTGTGCCTGGCCAAGAATTTATTTTTGAGTTGAATTTTTAAATATTAAAAATTTTTAAATATACAAACAAAAATTGTATATATTTGTAGTGTACAACCTGATGTTTTGAAATATGGATACATTGTGAAATGGCTAACTCAAGCTAATTAATACATGTGTTACCTCACATACTTATCATTTCTTTTGTGATGAGAACACTTAAAATCTACTGTCCTAGCAATTTTCAAGTATGCAATACATTGTTATTAACTGTAGTCACCATGTTGTACAATAGGTCTCTTGAACTTGTTCTTCCTGCTTATCTTAATTTTTGTATCCTTTGACAAACATCTCCCCAGTTCTACCCTCCTCCCCCCACCCCTAATAACCATTATTCTATTTTCTGCTTCTATGTGTTTGACTTTTTTAGATTCCACATATAAGTGAGGTTACATGGCATTTATCTCTCTGTGCCTGGCTTATTTCACTTAATATAATGTCCTCCAGTTTCATCCATGTTATTACAAAGGACAGGATTTCCTTCTTTAAGGCTGAACAATATTTCATTAGGTATATATACACCACATTTTCTTTAATCGTTCATCTGTTAAAGGATACTTAGGTTGATTTCATATCTTGTCTATTGTGAATAATGTTGCAATGAACATGAGGTACAGATTTTTCTTTGACATATTGAATCATTTTCTTTGGGTATAAATAGTATTAGGATTGCTGCATCATATGGTAGTTTTATTTTTAACTTTCTGAGAAACCTCTATATTATTTTTCATAATGGCTGTACTAATTTACATTCCTGCCAACAGTATACAAAGGCTCCCTTTTCTCCACATCCTCGCCAACACGTTATCTTTTGTCTTTTTCATAGTAGCCATTCTAAAAGGGATGTCTCATTGTGGTTTGGATTTGGGTTTCCCTGATGACTGGTGATGTTGGTTATTTTTTTATATTCCTGTTGGTCATTTGTATGTCTTCTTTGGAAAAATGTTTATTCAGGTACTTTGCCTCCCTTTCATTAATCAGGTTATATGTTTTCATGCTATTGAGTTGTATGAATACTTTATATATTCTGGATATTAATCCTTTATCAGATGTATGGTTTGCAAATATTTTCTCCCTTTTTGTAGGCTATCTCTTTACTCTATTGATTGCTCCCTTTGCTTGCACAGCTTTTTAGTTTGATATAATCCTGTTTGTCTATTTTTGCTTTTGTTGCCTGTGCTTTGGGGGTCATATCCAGAAAATCATTGCCCAGACCAGTCTCATGGAACTTTTCCTGTATGTTTTCTTCTAGTAGTTTTATGGTTTCAGGTTTTATATTTAAGTCTTTAGTCCATTTGTGTTATTTTTTTGTATATGGTGTGAGATAAGGGTCTAATTTCATTTCTCTGCATGTGGAGTTCTCCCAACACCATTTATGGAAAAGATTATCCTTTCCCCATTGTGTATTCTTGGCATATTTACTGAAAATCAATTGACCATAAACGTGGATGTATTCTATTCCATTGGTCTACCAGTCTGTTTGTATGCCAGTATCATGTTATATTTTTGATTACTATAGCATCATAGTATAGTTTGAAACTGGATAATGTGATGCCTCCTACTTTGTTCTTTTTGCTCACAATTTGCTATTTGGAGTTTTTTGTGGTTTCACATGAATTTGGG
Source organism: Homo sapiens (assembly GCF_000001405.40). Taxonomy (NCBI): domain Eukaryota; kingdom Metazoa; phylum Chordata; class Mammalia; order Primates; family Hominidae; genus Homo; species Homo sapiens. Next base: position 91,871,134 of record NC_000002.12, on the reverse strand, counting down.
GACTTTTTTCTGTTTACATAAAAAATATCATTGGAATTTTGATAGAGATTACATTGAATCTGTAGATCACTTTGGGTACTAAGAACATTTTAACAGTATGAATTCTTCTAATCCATGAAGATGGGATATATTTCCATTTATTTGTGTCTTCTTCAATTTCTTTCACCAATGTTTTATAGTTTTCAGTGTACAGGTCTTTCACCTCCTTGGTTAAATTAATTCCTAAGTATTTGTGTAGCCATTATAAATGAAATTGTTTTCTTGATTTCTTTTTCAGATAGTTCATTGTTAGTGTATACAGATGCTACTCGTTTTTTTATGTTGATTTTGCATCCTGCAACTTTACTGAATTAATTTTCTAGTTCCAACGGTTTTTTTTGGTGGACTCTTTAGGGTTTTCTACATTTAAGATCATGTTGTCTGCAGAGACAATTTCACTTCTTCCTTTCTGACTTTAATGCCTTTATTTCTTCTTCTTGACTAATTGCTAGAACTTGAATAGAAGTGGTGAAAATGGGCATCCATCTTGTTTCTGATCTTAGAGAAAAAGCTTTCAACTTTTTACCATTGAGTATGATGTTAGCTGTGGGCCTATCATATGTGCCTTTATTGTGTTATGTGGACATTGATACCTAATTTGTTGAAAGTTTTTATTACAGAAAGATGTTGAATTTTGCCAAATGCTTTCTCTGCATCCATGGAGATATTCATATAGTTTTTGTCCTTCATTCTGTTAATGTGTATATCACATTTATTGATTCAATATATGTTGAACCGTCCTTGGGAGGATTTAATCTACTGCTATCTTTCCATAGCTGAAGTAGGCTGCTATCATATTTTACTTACATCTGCATCCTGAGTTGATCTTCCAATGAACAAGCTTAGCTTTTTTCCTCCTTTAGCAATATTGGAACTCCCACATAGGCAGAGTTGCCAGCTGAGGGAGAGAATCTAGTGTCACAATTTGGATAATGTGGGGACCTGGATCACCTGATCATACTGCTTACTTGTGTCCTCTAGTCTTTCTCATGCCCAATCCTTGATGTGATATGGTTTGGCTCTGTGTCCCCACAAAATCTCATCTCAAATTATAATCCCCACATGTAGAGAGAGGGACTGGGTGGGAAGTGACTGGATCATGGGGGCAGTTTCCCTCATGCTGTTCTCATGATATTGAGTGAGTTCTCATGAGAGCAGATGGTTTAAAAGTGTTTGGCACATCCCCCCTTGCTTTCTGTCTCTCTTGCTGCCTTGTGAAGAAGGTGCCTGCTTCACCTTTGCCTTTAGTCATAAGTGTAAGTTTCCTGAGACCTCTCCAGCCATACGGAATTGTGAGTCAATAAACCTCTTTTGTTTATTAATCACCCAGTCTTGGGTAGTTCTTTATAGCAATGTGAAAATGGACTAATTCAATGTGGTACTTCTATTTTATTATGATTTGTTGCTGGGCCAGCCTGTCCTTATGATCTGGTAGATCTAACAAAACCAAACTCACGGTGGGAACTTTTAGCCACATGGTCACTTAATATTTGTTGTCAGATAGTCCGTCTCTACCTAGGTGCAGTAGCATGCTAGGAGCTATTAAAGTACACAATTATGCTATATATTTATACAATATACAATTACTTGCAGATAGCATGACCATGCTAGTGAACCCCACAAGACTATGTATGAATCGTCTATTAGGGTTTGCTATAAACTCTACATGGTGCTTTTTCCAACTGCATATACTTCTAATACCATAGAGCCTACTAGATTTTATGGCTCAAACACTAGGGCTGCTTGCCCTGGATCCTGGACCTGCTGCAGAGGCCTTTTCTGCCCTAAGCTTTTGTCAAAGGTGGAAGCCTTCTGTGTCACTCAGCAAATGTGTCAGAACAGTATTCCTTAGTATAGGGGGACCAATGGGCCCCTTAAAATCTTCTGCGACTGATGTCATAGGTCCTTAAATCTTCAGATGATTTTCTCTCTCAGGGTTGCTTGTGTCTCTCTAGGCCATCCAACATGCTATTTCTTACCCAGTCTATTTTAACTGGTAAATAAAATGGAAAAATGTAACATGCTACAGAATGTCCAGACAGCTCAGGTCTCTGGACTACGTTAGGACAGAGAGTCAAAGAACTAATATACATCTTAGACAAGTCTCTAAATGCATGCTGTTGTCCTTCCCATGAATGTGAATTGCTTCTGGTAAATTTCACTCTAAGTACGGCTTCAGTTATTTTACATATATATTGATCGGTAATCTTTTCATTTTAATTCAATTTTAAGCATGTTCTAATTTTTATTATAATTTCTTCTTGCTTCCATGAATCATTTGGAAGCTGTTTGTAGTTTCTAAAATTCATGGATTACTTTTGGATAAGTTTTTGTTATTGATTTCTAATAGTGCTATTACACAATAGTTATACCAATGTAAACATTTGATACTACCTTTAGGCCTAGTATCTGGTCAATTTTTGTAAATACTCCAAGTGTGCTTGAAAAGAATAGAAATTCTTTAACTGTTGATTAGCCTTACTAATTTTATGTTTATTCAATTACTAAAAATGAAATGTTAAAATCTCTCACTGTGTAGATTTTTTTATTGCTCTTTCCAATTCTAATTTTGGCTTTATTTATTTTGAGACTACATTATTAGGTATCCACAATTTTATAAAAATTAAGAAAAAATTAGAAAAGTTTAGAAAAAAATTAGAAAAATATAGAAAAAGATGTGACAGAAGCACACATGGGCTTTATCTGGATGATCTCTTGTCAGGTTTGTATCCTGGGGAAGGCCTTCACAGCAAGAGATGGACCAGAGGATTGAGACAAGGGGGCCACCATTCAGAAGGGGAGGAGGGCAAAGGAACTCCTGAGGGAGGAAAGGATCAGAGAGGAGGCTTTCATGTCTCAGTGATATCACTCAGCAGCATGGCATGGAGTCTGTAGTTCACAGAGTTCCAAATAACAGAAGCAGTTTGGGGTCTTTACAGCCTAGAGTTTATCTGTGGCAAGCAGATTTTGGACGTAGTTTCCCAGGGCATGTAAATCAGGCAGGATCTAAATGCCTACAAATCTGCATGTCTGGGCTATGTTTAACACAATTGGATGTTTAAAAATTTGAGTTTGGTGCCAGTTGGTTTTTGAGCTAATGGGTTTCAGCTTGCTGTGAAGAAATAACCTAGGCGCCAATACACAGAGGCCATCCTTGTCTCATTTACATTATATGCAGTGACTCTATCCTTTTTTGCTCACAATTGTTTTATTCATTTCTTTTAGATTTGTTTACTTTACTGAGATTATTTGGTAGGTAAGATTTCAGTTTATTGTAGTTTGCTAACTCATTATTCAAAGTGTTCTAATAAAAATTTTGCTCCATCCTTAATCCCCATTTAAACAAAGCTGCTGTGGGTAAGGTCATCAATGGCCTTCGTGTTATCAAATCCATTTTGTTAACAAAATTTTAATGTTTAAAATTTTCTTATGTGTACACATGTTTAATTTATGTAATTTCAAAACGGGGTATCATACATGGAATTTGGTAGTTTTCTTTTCTTTTTTTGTTCACTTACTCTGTTTCTTAAGGCTTTACTGTAACCCACAATGCAATGTCCCCCATATTTATTATGTATGACTGATATTCACATAGAACATATTTTGTCATTAAGTGTTATCTTTTTCCACATAGGTGTTCCTGTCTTTAGTCTTCTATTTTCTCTCTCTCCCGCTTCTCTCCCACCCTTCCTCTCTCCATTTATGTACGTATTTAAATCATTTTAAAAATCATTTTATGTATCACTTCAAAGACTTCAGTGTAAATTGAGGGTCCAATTTTGTTTTATTTGAATTGTTTATTTTCATATATTAATTTTTCATCTACATGTAAATTCTCAGTTTTTTACCACTCTTGCTTATTCTTAATTAATACAATTGTTTTTCTTAATTGATCAATTCCAATAGTTCTATAGTAGGTGCTGATATCTGGTGAGAAAAGTTCCTCTCAATAGTCTTTTTTTTGGTACAATTTTCTGACTATTCTTCTACATGAACTTTAAGATAATTTAATCCAATTTTAAAATGCTTTTGTGATTCTAATGTGAATTTAATTGAATTTATATATAATTTTAGGAAATTAATGTTTTTACAAGAGTTTTGTTTGTTTTTTTGAGACAGGGTCTCACTTTGTCACCCAGGCAGGAGTGCAGTTGTGGGATCTCAGCTCACTGAAGCCCCAACCTCCCACCTCAGCCTCCCAAGTACCTGGTTCTATAAGCATGCACCAAGCCCAATTAGTTTTTTGTTTTGTTTTGCTTTGTTTAGAGATAGCGTTTCACAATTTGCCGAAGCTGGTCTTGAACTCCTGGGCTCAAGCAGTCCTCCTGCTTCAGCCTCCCAAAGTGCTGGGATTACAGGTATGAGCCACTGCGCCTAGCCTCATGTGTTTCTTATTCAATAGCTTTTGGTAACATTTTTATAGTTTTTTCTTATGGATCTTCTTTCTTGGTAAATTTATTTTACCTTTATTATTTTTGTTATTGTGAATATTTTTACCGTTAGCATTTCAAGGTGCTTATTGCTAATATATTTTGTATTATGATCTTATTTCCAAATACCTTACCAATATTCCTCTTTAAAATAGTTGAAAGTTCTGTTTTTCCTAATCTCTATGATTTCCTAGGCATATAATCATATCCACAAAAAGTTTTCTATATATTTATACTGATTATTTCATTTAAAAATCTTGTTACATTCATGGATCCTCCAAGATAATCTTTAACAACAAATAATGACAGCAGCTATTCCTACTGGTTCCTTGTTTTATTTGAAATGTTCCTTTATGATTTAAAATACTTGTTTTGTAGGCATTTCATAAATAACGGTTATGTTTAGACACTTTCCTTCAATTTCTATTTTACTCAAGAATCTTCATTAGGAGTGGATGTTTAATCTTAACAATAGCCCTCTCGGCATCTACTGATATAATCACATTTTCCTCTTCTTTGATGTCAATTATGTAATTGTGTTAATATACTTAACTGATATTGAAATACCCGTGAATTCCTGAAATACAATGCTCTTTGCATAGGCCTGTATTACTCTTTTTTGTTGTTGCAATTATTGATAAAATTGCTGGGTTTTTATTTAGAATATTCATTCATATGTATAAGTCAGATTGGTCTATAGTTTTGGTTTTTTTGTTTGTTTTTTTGTTTTGAGACAGAGACTTGCTCTTTCACCCAGGCTGGAGTGCAGTGGCGTGATCTTGGCTCACTGCAACCTCTGCCTCCTGGGTTCAAGCTGGGATTATAGACATGCACCACCATGCCGGGCTAATTTTTGTATTTTTAGTAGAGACGGGGTTTCGCCATATTGTCCAGGCTGGTCTTGAACTCCTGACCTTAAGTGATCCACCTGCCTTGGCTTCCCAAAGTGCTGGGATTACAGGTGTAAGCCATGGCACCTGGCCTATAGTTTTTTCATATGTTTATAAGGTTTTCATATTAATGCTGCACTGCCTATGTGAAATGAATTGGTTTTTGTTTTTAAAAAAATTTGGGATACTTTAAATAACACTGGAATTATCCTTCTTGCAACCCTAGTACTTTTTAAATTATGGATTTAAAAAATCACTTTACATTCTCTTCTTTGTAACTGGTCTATTAACATTTTAAATTTCTTCTTGGATTAGTTTTGGTCATTTATATTTTTCCATAAAATTACCCATTTTCTCTAGATTTTCCAATGTGTGGCCTTATAGTTGCATGCAGCATTTCAAAGTGAATCTTTCTTTTTTCTTTTCTTTTTTTTTTTTTTTTTGAGATGGAGTCTTGCTCTGTGGCCCAGGCTGGAATGCAATGGCATGACCTTGGCACACTGCAACCTCTGCCTCCTGGATTCAAGAGATTCTTCCACCTCAGCCTCCCGAGTAGCTGGGATTACAGACATCCGCCATCATGCACAGTTAATTTTTGTATTTTTGTAGAGACGAGTTTTCACAATGTTAGCCAGGCTGGTCTTAAACTCCTGACCTTAGGCAATCTGCCCACCTTGGCCTCTCAAAGTGCTGGAATTAATTACAGGTGTGAGCCACCTGTAATTAAAGATTCAAAGAGAATCTTTCTACCTTCATCTTATTTTACTTCTTGGTAGCTTTCTACAGAGTTGAAGATTGTACTTGTGAGTTTTGAGTTTCTTGATTTGTTGAATGGATGTGATTAATTTATATCTTTAGTGTGATCATGCAGAGAAGTGTATGAGGGATAGTGATGGAAAATTACAGGAAATCTGAAAATTTAATAAATAGTTGGCATTTTTGTTTTCTCACTAGTACAGGGTTCATCTCAGTAATTATGAAATGTACTACCCTTTTCTCCTTTTCTATATTATTTTGGAAAATTACAGCCTTATAATAGAGATCAGAAATGTGTTAACATTATGGCTGATCTGTCTGACAACAGTGTTCTAAGAAAACAGTATCACAAATATACTTTCTCACCATAATTGTTCAAAACAGAAATTTTGTAAGCAAAGAATCAAGCATTTAAACCAAAGGAAAGTTAGAGTGATGTCATCTCTGGTTGAAAAACACAGTCTTTCTGAACAGATTTTCAATGTCCTTGAAGACCATAAGTAATATAAAATTACACAATACATTTGCTAATAATATGAACTGTACACTTTTTATATGAAAATGATGCTTGCTACAACATGACTTTACTAAATTGGATTTCTGCAAAAGATAAAACACCAGGCATGGTTGCTCACACCTGCAATCCCAGCACTTTGGGAGTGCTGAGGCAGGGAGGATCACTTGAGTCCAGGACTTCGAGACCAGCCTGGGTAACATAGTGAGACTCTGTCTCTTAGAAAAGTAAAAAATTAGCCGGGCATGATGAAGCATGACTGTAGTCTCAGCTGCTTGGGAGGCTGAGGTGGGAGGATCACTTGAGCACAAGAGGCTGAGGCTGCGGTGAGGTAAGATCACGCCCCTGCACTCCAGCCTGGGTGACAGGGCCAGACTTTGTCTCAAAATATATGAAAGTAGATAAAATTAGTTTACTTGCTGAACATAATCAAATATAGCAACTTTCTAGTAAAGGACTATTAGGACAAACTATGTTAACACAACCTCAGATGATGCAGCATAGTTAAAACAAAACAAAACAGCTTTGGGCATATTCTATACTCCAACCTCTGTGGTGCAAAGGGACTATATGGCCAACTAGGTGTTGAGGCAGTCACAGAACTGCTGCACATGTGGTTTTTAAACAAGATTTTTAATTCCCCCTAAAGTGGAAGAAGTCATCTAACAAAATTTATTATGACTTGAATTGCTACTTCTTTATTTAGTTTTCCTCAAACTTTAACAAAATAAATTATGTTGTAAATTATAGTCATTAAGCTTGAAAAATGTTTCAATTGAATGGGAAAACTTCCTGTGATAAAACCTCCAATCATCAAGGAATAAGTCAATATATTTTAAGCATTAATTTTCCAACATGTTAAGCACTAAGCTTTTAACTAAATAGCTAAGGGGAAATTGTTGCCACCGAATGCAACACATATCCTGCCTTTTTAAATAACACACACTACTTATCTTGATTCCAATTCATCACTAAACATCACTTGTATAATTTGATCACAGTGATGTCCTCAGAGACAGTTGTATGCAGAATCCTATAAATTGTCTCAAGCTGCTATGCTTTTAATATTCACCTTAAATTTATTTTTGTTCCCCTGCCTTGCTGTCAGCTGTCACATTTTATAGTTCACCCCTTCTGCAAGACCCTTTCGATACTTGTGATTTGTTAGGAAGCAGAAATCAGATAACCTAACTTGATAGAATTCAATGTGAAGTAAGAATAAGTAGACTCTGGGTAGCTGCTGCCTCTACCATTAAAAATTTTTTAAAAAGAAGACTTTTCAATTACCATTTAATTTGAGCTTGACTTACCTAGACTACTATTAGTCAATATTAGTTTAACAGAGGGAAAATTGTTAATAAAGTAGATCTAATATGTAAACACATACATCATTCCCTTGTTCTGGATCTATCAATGATTTCATACTTTGACTATATCTAAATTATCTGCTTTTCCTGGCCTTCAATGTGGTCTTTAATTCAGCCCTGCTTTCCATGGGTTAAATTTCCTACAATGCTGAGATGTTTATATTGGTTTCCTCCTGTCCTATGAACTTCATACTGATTTCTGCCCCAATAAATTGGATTAGATGAAGAAAAAAAGACTTTTTTTTTTTTAAGATAGGGTTTCACTCCTGTTGCCCAGGCTGGAGTGCAGTGGCACAATCTTGGCTCACTGCAACCTTGGCCTCCTCAACTCAAGAGATTCTTGTGCCTCAGCCTCCCGAGTAACTGGGACTACGCGTGTGCCAGGTGCCCGGTTAATTTTTGTATTTTTTTGTAGAGATGAGATCTCACCATGTTGCCCAGGCTGGTATGGAACTCCTGAGATCAAGTACTCCACCCACCTCAGCCTCCCAAATTGCTGAGATTACAGGTGTGTAGTCACTGCACCAAGCCAATGAGGCACTCACTTCTGAATAAAGTACAAGCATTAGTAACATCTCCCCTTGTCTCTCCAGATTGGTGATGCTGCCACAACTGAATTCTAAATGGGTTAAGTGTTATACAATTAGTTAAGTTTCTTTGGTAGGTATCAAATAAAACATCCACCTAAATTCTTAAGAACCTTGTTAAATAGTGGAATTTACAAACTCTTTATACAGATTCTGATAGGACATTTCTATTGGAAGACTATGGAATCACAATGAGGAAGGTAGTACTATATAGATCAGCAGCTGGCTTAATTGGCTTCCTGTAACTTATTAACAAATTAGGTTACAAAATACAAAGGCAACTTAATGAATCATCATATTTGGCATTGAACTCAAAGCTGAATTGTGTGAATTGTGAGGTGCTTTCCATAATTCAACTTGCTTAATTACCCATATGAATGAATCATTCATACCTCAAGCCTGCTAACACTTTTGGATACCTGATGTTTATGTAATGGTGGTGCTCATTTGCTGAGTAAGGCATGAGTAGTTTCCTAGGTAAGCAGAAGTAGCCCTCAAAACAATCATAATGTGACACAGTAACAACAGGGCTGTATTTTGAAGGCTCTAGAAACCCAAGACATATTTCAAGAGCCAAGTTACTTTTTTTTTTCCTTTACCACTTATCCTCAAGTTCTACAAGTTACTTATACTGTATCAATTCAAATACATTTGGTTATTAGATGTCTATTTTTTAAAGATGGACAAGATAAAATTGTGTAAATTTACAAGAAGTAATGGAAACTGCTAATAATGCTTATTTAAAAGAGTTATTAAAGAAACAGCTTACTACCAACCCTAGGCTTCTGAAAAATTTGCACAGGTGGGAAAAGATATGGGCATAGCTCTTAGCATATTTTAACAACTGAAAATGTGGCAGGGAAAAAGTCTTTATTCTGAGAGTATAACCATCTTACTTTTGGGGTATTAAAATTACCTTTTATGAGATAATTCATTTTCAATGTTATTTGACAAAATTCAAAGTTGGTCATTCATTTTAGTCTCCTCATTTTTAGTAAATTTACCTCCTGTAAAATCTAAGTTATGGGAACCACTAGAACATGTGTGAAAACAAGTTGCTGTGAGACGCAGTGACAGATTTTACAAAAAGAAAAGCATTTCATGACCACAGACCAGGATATACAAAATTTTGGTGAGGTGGATTTTTTCCAAAGTCTGGTGACCAACTGTGGAAAAATAATTGGTTAATCTGACAGTGAGGCCCCTTAACAGTGTTGAAGAAAATGTATCCAAAAAAAATACCCTAGAGTCAAAGAAGTGAGAGCAATGCTGTATTTATCCCCCACTGACATGTGAGGAAAGAACAATAATTTTAGACATACACCTTGTAAAACTTCTCAAAAACCAGACTACATTTCTAACTCTAAAATACATGCTGCTGGTCATGAAGATGTTCTGATCATATAATTGAACCTACTGACATTACATGTAATAAATTAAAAACCCAAGTACCATGCTTAGTGTAGTGTCTGGTACATACACGTTCTCAATAACAATTAGTTTTATTTCTAGAAGGATTACCTCTGCCTCTTGTACCTTCTTATAAAAAGAAAGCAAAGTGAACTGAATAAATTGTGTCTTAAATAGACTAAAGAAAAGCTTTTGTGTTTGTCTTTTCTCAACTAAGCAATTTCCATAGTGCCTAGCAAGGTCTCAGAAATGCACTCAGTGAAGAGGGTTAAATGGTAACTCTTTCAGAACAGAAAGGATTCCCTACAGAGCCCAGCAGAGGCAGAACACTATTTTGCCCAGCCTGGCCTTGAACTCCTGGGCTCCAGCACTGCAGCCATCCTCCCACCTCAATCTTCCCAGCAGTTAGGACTACAGGACTGTGCCATGGCACCTGGCTAAGGATAGCTATTATGAGAGTAGTAATGTAAGATGAAACTAAAAAGACTCATAATAGTAGAATTAAAAAGCACAAAAATTTTAAAGATTCTCCGGTACGTTTATTTCACAAACTTTTTTGTACAGTTGACCCTTACACATGGGTTTGAACTGGGTGGGTACACTTATGCGCATACTTTTTTCAATCAAATGCAGGTGAGGTCACACAGATCAGCATTTGTGCATGGGATGTGAAACTCATGTGTATGGAGGGTCAATTGGAGGGCCAACTTTTCTACATATGGGTTCTGCAAGACTTTCTGTGAGACTTGAGTATGGGCAGATTTTGGTATATGTGTGGCCCTGGAACTAGTCCCCAGTGTATACAAGGGATGACTGTATTTTAATGGTTTATAGTGTTAAAAAGAGAAAAATGTCCACGTAACCACAATTTTGAACACTGAACTATTTTAATATGAATTAATATGTCTTATATTTATTACCAATTGATCTTCAAATTGCAGCAGCCCATGAGTTTTGTTGTAAGTGTTCTTGCCTTTCCACCCCAGCTGTCACTGAGTCAAACAGTTTAAAATATACACACACACAAACAGACACAAGCCTTTTGTAAAGTAAACAAATCTTTTATACTGTAAATAACTGTTCCTCAATGGAACTTTTTGTATCCAGTTTACTTCTTTTCTAAAGCTGGGATATTCATATTAAATACCCAACAATCTCTATAAAGCAAAGAGTCTATCTCTGTGAAAACACAAGTAATTCTTGATGGCAATATTTTTCTTAATTCACCTAAACAAATGCAGTTTGGAAGGCCAAAAGGAGAAAAAAACACTTCAGATTATCAAAACCAAAAGAGATATGAAAAAATAACATTTAACAATGTAGGCAGAAATTTTAAATACAAGATCCTGTTGAAAATATTGATATTCAAATAAACAAACAGCTTTGGATCCATAGCCACAATTTAGGTTTTCCTAAATTAAAATCAGAAGTGATTTTATTATTGGAAGATACATTAATTCTTTGAAGTCAGAATAAGAGGCTTGACAATTTAATTTCTAATTAAGTGACTGAATAGACAAAGGATCAAATACAAACAGTAGTGCAGGAAGAAAATAAATTGGAAGAAATAATTGTTCAACCAGTAGTAATAATTAAGACCACCATTTTAAAATTTTCTGTACACAAAGAATGAGAAAACATTGTTATAATATTATTATTATACTTCTTTCTTTTTCAGTATTAGTGGACCCACATTATCTCCTGTCAATTCATTGTGTTTATTATGTGAACCATCCCAGGCAGGAAACTAAAAAGAAAAAAGAATTACAAGTGTTATTTTTAAAATATGATTCATTAGGTAGAAACATTTGTGAAATGCTCTCAGAAAGAAAGAATATCACTTGCTAAAAAAAATCATATCGTTTTCCTGAGTAATAGTTACATTTTACATCCAACTGAACCATATTCAAAATCTAACAATTTAAACAGTTACTTCATTATTTGGTTTAGATTTTAAGTAAAAACCTATGAATGATTCCATATGAGTGATTAAAACAGACAACAGGTTTAAAAGGGAATCAAAGAAGTTCTTGGTCATTTGTGGAGCTTAAAATTCGAGCTCAGCTATTGCTTAATTTTAAAACAATGGAATTTAATTCAAAATAAGTTATAATTTTTTCTTGCTATAAAACTCATGCATACCACACAATTTTTGAAAACAAAAATATATTTTAGGCTGGGTGCGGTAGCTTATGCCGGTAATCCCAACACTTTCGGAGGCAGAGATGGACAAATCACTTGACATCAGGAGTTCAAGACTAGTCTGGCCAACATGGCAAAACCCCATCTCTAACTAAAAATACAAAAGTTAGCTGGGCGTGGTGGCATACGCCTGTGTCTCGGGTACTTGGGAGGCTGAGGTGGGAGAATTCCTTGAACCCAGGAGGTGGAGGTTGCAGTAAGCTGAGATCATGCCATCGCACTCCAGCCTGAGTGACAGAGCAAGACTCTGTCCCCGCAAAAATAAATAAAGAATAAATAAAAATAAATTTAAAAAAATTCACTCATAACCCATCCAGATATAGGTAATAATAATTAACAGTTTTTTTTTTTATCAAACTCCCGCTTGGGGGAGTGGGCGTAGCCCAGCAGCCGGTGTTCCTTACTAGTGAAAAAGCTGGGGTTGGAGATGCCACGGGGGGAGGTGTGGGGGGCCTAGGGGGCTCTGCTTGGACCTTCTGGGTGTCCTCCTGTGACCTCAGGTTCCTCACCTGTCTCAGAGGACTGATGGGCTGCTATGGCAGCTTTGTTTGGAGGATTAAGACAGATAGTCCCAGTAAAGCCCCATTAGCCCCACCTCCACCCCCCGCCCTCTGGATTTTTTTTTTATTATTATTATTTTTCTGGCTTTCTGAGGAAACTTTCCGGAATGTGTCCAGGAGTTGAAGCGGGAAGGCTGGACACCCTCCCTTGGCGTTGCCGTTCCTTCCAGACGCCCCCTCTTCTTAGGCTCTTTTCAAGCGCACGCCAGGCAACATGTGCTCTACCCAAGTGCACTTCACAGATCTTCCTGTGGGTCTAAAACCAGAACGCTTTCTTCCCTGACCCCTGCCCTCGTATCACCCCAACCCCAAGTCTTTTGGCAGAGCCGGCTACAGACTCGAGTGTCAGTTTAATGCTTGTTCCCTAAGGTCTCCCCAGGGCTCTTAGGACAGCGTTAGGTTTAGGATTCGGGTTCGGGTGCGCCTTTCGGCGCCCTGCGCGGTCGCCATGTGCCTTTGGGAGGGCGGAGCTGCGTTCTCCTCAGCACAGGATGAGGTGTGTTCTGCTCAGCACAGACCCGGGGAACCACCACGAAGGCAGAGCAGCATTCTCCTCAGCACAGACCTTGGGGGCACTGCCTCGCTTTGGGACAACTCGGGGCCGCATCGACGGTGAATAAAATCCTTCCTGTTTGCAGCCCTGAATAATCAGGGTCAGAGACCAGTTAGAAGGGTTCAGTGTGGAAAACGGGAAACCAAAAGCCCCTCTGAATCCTGCCCACCGAAGTTCTCCCCTGCCAAGGCGAGGCGGCCGCAGTGCGAGATCCACACCGCAGTCTCAGAAGACAAATGCAGCATTCCTAATGCAGACATGACACTCAAAATATGACACCCCCATTGCTCATGTAACAAGCACCTGTAGTGCTAATGCACTGCCTCGACACAAAAACATTAATATAAGATCCACAATCCCCTCGCTGCCATGCAGTCCTAAGACAGCAATCATAATAATCAACATTGACATAGTCAATACAAACGTAGTAACGAACCTAGGTTTAAGGTTGATGTTAGGGTTAGGGGTTAGGGGTTAAGTTTAGGGTTAGGGGTTGGAGATAGAAGTTGGGGTCAGAGTTAGGGGTTAGGAGTCAACGTTTAGAGTTAGGGGTTAAGAGAGGTTAGGGGTTAGGGATTAGGGGTTAGGGTTGGGTTAGGGTGAGGGTGAGGGTTGGAGTTAGGGCTTAGGGTTAAGGTTAAGGGTTAGGGTTAGGGGTTAGGGTTATGGTCAGGGGTTAGTGGTCAGGGTCAGGGGTTAGGGGTCAGGGTCAGGGGTTAGGGGTCAGGGTTCCCACTCTGATAGTTGTCTATTTACTCTGCTGACTGTTCCCTTTGCCATGCAAAAGCTATTTAGTTTAATTAAGTCCCAGCTATTTAGCTTTGTTTTTATTGCATTTGCATTTGGGTTCTTGGTCATGAAATCCTTGCCTATGCCAATGTCTAGAAGGGTTTATCCAGTGTTACCTTCTAGAATTTTTATAGTTCAGGAATTAGGTTTAAGTTCTTAATCCATCTTGAGTAGATTTTTGTATAAGGTGAGAGATGAGAATCCAGTTTTACTCCCCTACATGTGGCTCACCAATTATCCCAACATCATGTGTTGAAAAGGGTGTCCTTTCCCCACTTTATGTTTTTGTTTACTTTGTCGAAGATCAGTTGGCTGTAAGTATTTGGGTTAATTTCTGGGTTCTCTTCTTCTGTTCCATTGGTCTATGTGCCTATTTTTAAACCAGTACCATGCTGTTTTGGTAACTATGGCCATATTGTACAGTTTGAAATCAAGTAGTGTGATGCCTCCAGGTTTGTTCTTTTTGCTTAGCCTTGGTTGGGCTACATGGCTCTCTTTTGGTTCCATATTAATTTTAGAATTGTTTTTGTAATTCTTTGAAGAATGATGATGGTTTTCAGATGGGGATTGCATTGAATTTGTAGATTGCCTTTAACAGAATGGTAATTTTCACAATATTGGTTCTACCCAACCATGAGCATGGGGATGTGTTTCCATTTGTTTGTGTCATCTATGATTTCTTTTCTTTCTTGGTCTTTTTTTTTTTTCAGAGGGAGTTTCGCTCTTGTTGCTGAGGTGGGAGTGCAATGGTGTGATCTCAGCTCACTACAACTTCTGTCTCCTGGGTTCAAGCAATTCTCCTGCCTCAGCTTCCCGAGTAGCTGGGATTATAGGCATGCGCCACCGTGCTTGGCTCCATCTGTGATTTCTTTCAGCAGTGTTTTGTAATTTTCATTGTAGAGGTCTTTTGATTCCTTTGTTAGGTATATTCCTAAGTTTTTTTTGTTTGTTTGTTTTTTGTTTTTTGCAGCTATTGTAAAAGGGGTTGAGTTCTTGATGTGATTCTCTGCTTGGTAGCTGTTGATGCATAGAAGAGCTACTGATTTGTGTACATTAATCTTGTATCTGGAAACTTTGCTGAATTCTTTTATCAGTTCTAGGAGCTTTCTAGAGGAGTCCATAGGGTTTTCAAGGCGAAAGATCATATCGTCAGCAAACAGTGACAGTTTGACTTCCTCTTTACCAATTTGGATTTCCTCTATTTACTTCTTTCGTCTGATTGCTCTGGCTAGGACTTACAGTAGTATGTTGAAGAGGAGTGGTGAGAGTAGGCTCCTCATCTTGTTCCAGTTCTCAAAGGGAATACTTTCACCTTTTCCCCATTCAGTATTATGTTGGCTGTGGGTTTGTCACAGATGGCTTTTATTACATTAAGGTATGTCCCTTGTATGCCCATTTTGCTGAGAGCTTTAATCATAAAGCAATGCTAGATTTTGTCGAATGCTTTTTCTGCATCTGTTGATATAATCATGTGAGTTTTTTTTAATTCTGTTTATTTGGTGTATCACATTTATTGACTTGCGTATGTTAAACCATTCCTGTATCACTGGTATGAAACCCACTTGATCATGGTGGATTATCTTTTTGATATGTTGTTGGATTCAGTTAGATAGTATTTTGTTAAGGATTTTGGCATCTGCGTTCATCAAGGGTGTTGGTCTGTAGTTTTCTTTTTTGGTTATGTCATTTCATGGTTTTGGTATTAGGGTGATGCTGGCTTCATAAATGAATCAGGGAGGGTTTCTTCTTCCTCTGTCTTGTGGAATAGTGTGAAAGGATAGGTATCATTTCTTCTTTGAATGAAAGAAGACATTCTTTGAATGTCTGGTAGAATTCTGCTGTGAATCTGTCTAGTCCTGGGCTTTTTTTGTTGGTAATTTGAATATTACCATTTCGATCTTGCTGCTTGCTTTATTGGTCTGCTTGGGGTATCTACTTCTTCCTGATTAAGCTAGGAGGGTTGTATTTTTCCAGGAATTTATCCAACTCTCCTAGGTTTTCTAGTTTATGTGCCAAAAGGTGTTCATAGTACCCTTGAATAATCTTTAATATTTCAGTAGTGTCAGTTGTAATATCCCCTGTTTCATTTCTTAGTGAGGTTATTTGGATTTTCTCTCTTCTTTTCTTGGTTAATCTTGCTAACGGTCTATCAATTTTATTTATCTTTTCAAATAACCAACTTTTTGTTTTATTTATGTTTTGTATTTTTTTGTTGTTGTTGTTGTGTCAATTTCATTTAGTTCTGCTCTGATCTTGGTTATTTCCTTTGTTTGCTGGGATTGGGTTTGGCTTGTTCCTGCTTCTCTAGTTCCCTGAGATGTGAACTTAGATTGTCTGTGCTCTTTCAGACTTTTTGACGTAGGTGTTTAGAGCTACAAACTTTCCTCTTCGCACTGCCTTTGCTGTCTCCCAGAGGTCTTGATAGGTTGTGTCATCCAGTTCAAAGAAATTTTTTACATTTCCATCTTGATTTCATTTTTCACCCAATGCTCATTCAGGAGCAGGTTATTTAATTTCCATGTATTTGCATGGTTTTGAAGATTCCTTTTGGAGTTGATTTTCAGTTTTATTCCACTGTGATCTGAGAGAGTGCGTGATACAATTTCAATTTTCTTAAATTTATTGAGACTCGTTTTATGGCCTATCATATGGTCTATCTTGGAGAAAATTCCACGTGCTGTGGAATACAATGTGCATTCTGTGGTTTAAATCCAGTGTTTCCTTGTTGACTTTCTGTGTTGATGACCTGTCTAGTGCTGTCAGTGGAGTATTGAAGGCCCCCACTATTATTGTGTTGCTGTCTATCTTATTTCTTATATCTACTAATAATTGTTTTATAAATTTGGGAGCTCCAGTATTAGGTTCATGTATGTTTAGGATTGTCATATTTTTCTGTTGGATGAGGCCTTTACCATTATATACTGTCTGTCTTTGTCTCTTTTAGCTACTGTTGCTTTAAAGTTTGTTTTTTCTCATATGAGAATAGCTTCTGCTGCTCACTTTTGGTGTCCATTTGCATGAAATGCCTTTTTCTACTACTTTCCTTAAGTTTATGTAAGTTGTTATGTGTTAGGTGAGTCTCCTGAAGGCAGCAGATAGTTAGTTGGTGAGTTCTTATCCATTCTGTGGTTCTGTATCTTGTAAGTGGAGCATTTAAGCCATTTACAACCAACATTACTATTAAAAAGTGAGGTACCATTGCTTTCATCATGCTCTTTGTTGCCTCTGTACATTGTTTTTGTTTTCTGTTTTTGCTTTTTAACTTGTATTTTTGTTTTATAGGTCTTGTGTGATTTATGCTTTAATGAAGTTCTGTTTTGATGTGTTTCCAGGATTTGTTTCATGATTTAGAGCTCCTTTTAGCAGTTTTTACAGTGCTGGTTTGGTAATGGCAAATTCTGTCAGCATTTGTTTGTCTGAAAATGACTGTATCTTTCCTTCATATGTGATGTTTAGTTTTGCTGGATACAAAATTCTTGGCTGATAATTGTTTTGTTTGAGGAGGCTGAAGAAAGGACCCCAATTCCATCTAGCTTGTAAGGTTTCTGCTGCAAAATCTGCTGTTAGTTTGATAGATCTTCCTTTATAGGTTACCTAGTGCTTCTGTCTCACAGCTCTTAAGATTCTTTCCTTTGTCTTAACTTTGGATAACCTAATCACAATGTACCTAGGCTAAGATCTTTTTGTGATGAATTTCCCAGGTGTTATTTGTGCTTCTTGTATTTGGATGTCTAGGTCTCTCACAAGGCCATGGAAATTTTCATTGATTATTCCCCCAAATATGTTTTCCTGGCTTTTAGAATTCACTTCTTCCTCAGGTACACCAATTAGTCTTAGGTTTCATCGTTTAACAGAATGCCAGACTCCTTGGAGGCTTTGCTCATATTTTCTTATTCTTTTTTCTTTGTCTTTATTGGATTGGGTTAAATCAAAGAACTTGTCTTCGAATTCTGAATTTCTTTCTTCTACTTGTTCAATTCTATTGCTGAGACTTTCCAGAGCATTTCACATTTCTAAAAGTGTGTCCAAAGTTTCCTGATTTTTTTTTTTTTTTTTTTTTTTTGATAATACTTGGGTGTTTCTCACAGAGGGGGATTTGGCAGGGTCATGGGACAATCGTGGAGGGAAGGTCAGCAGATAAACAAGTGAACAAAGGTCTCCGGTTTTCCTAGGTAGAGGACCCTGCGGCCTTCCGCAGTGTTTGTGTCCCTGATTACTTGAGATTAGGGAGTGGTGATGACTCTTAACGAGCATGCTGCCTTCAAGCATCTGTTTAACAAAGCACATCTTGCACCGCCCTTAATCCATTTAACCCTGAGTGGACACAGCGTTTCAGAGAGCACAAGGTTGGGGGTAAGGTCACAGATCAACAAGATCCCAAGGCAGAAGAATTTTTCTTAGTGCAGAACAAAATGAAAAGTCTCCCATGTCTACTTCTTTCTACACAGACACGGCAACCATCCGATTTCTCAATCTTTTCCCCCCCTTTCCCACCTTTCTATTCCACAAAGCCACCATTGTCATCCTGGCCCGTTCTCAATGAGCTGTTGGGCACACCTCCCAGATGGGGTGGTGGCCGGGCAGAGGGGCTCCTCACTTCCCAGTAGGGGCGGCCGGGCAGAGGCGCCCCTCACCTCCCAGACGGGGCAGCTGGCCGGGCGGGGGGCTGACCCGCCCACCTCTCTCCCGGACGGGGCGGCTGGCTGGGCGGGGGGCTGACCCGCCCACCTCCCTCCCGGACAGGGCGGCTGGCCGGGCGGGGGGCTGACCCCCCCACCTCCCTCCCGGATGGGGCGGCTGGCCGGGCAGAGGGGCTCCTCACTTCCCAGTAGGGGCAGCCGGGCAGAGGCACCCCTCACGTCCCAGACGGGGCGGCTGGCCAGGTGGGGGGCTGACACCCCCACCTCCCTCCCGGACGGGGCGGCTGGCGGGTGGGGGACTGACCCCCCCACCTCCCTCCCGGACAGGGCGGCTGGCCGGGCGGGGGGCTGACTCCCCCACCTCCCTCCCGGACGGGGCGGCTGGCCGGGTGGGGGGCTGACCCCCACCTCCCTCCCAGATGGGGCGGCTGCCCGGGCGGGGGGCTGACCCCCCCCACCTCCCTCCCGGACAGGGTGACTGCCAGGCGGAGACGCTCCTCACTTCCCAGATGGGGTGGCTGCCAGGCGGAGAGGCTCCTGACTTCTCAGACGGGGTAGCTGCCGGGCGGAGGGGCTCCTCACTTCTCAGATGGGGTGGCCGGGCAGAGGCGCTCCTCACATCCCAGATGGGGCGGCGGGGCCCTGATTTTTTTTTTAATTTAAGCTATCTATTTCCTTGAATGTTTCTCCCTTCACTTATTGTATTATTTTTTGGATTTTCTGGCATTGGGCTTCACCTTTCTCTGGCCCCTCCCTGATTAGTTTAATAACTAACCTGAATTCTTTTTCAGATAAATCAGTGATTTCTTCTTTGTTTGGATCCATTGGTGATGAACTGGTGTGATTCTTTGGGGGGTGTTGAAGAGTCTTGTTTTGTCAGATTACCGGGGTTGGTTTTCTGGTTCCTTCTCATTTTGGTAGACACTGTCAGAGGAAAGGTCTAGGGCTGAAGACTGTTGTTCAGACTCTTGTCGCACGGAGTGTTCCCTTGATGTAGTACTCTCCCCCTTTTCCTATGGTCATGGCTTCCTGTGAGCTGAAGTGCATTGATTGTTGTCTCTCTTCTGGGTCTAGCCACCCAGCAGGTCTACCTGGCTTTGGGCTGGTACTAGGGGTTGTCTGCATAGAGCCCTGTGATGTGAACCATCTATGGTTCTCTCAGCCATGGATACCAGCGCCTGTTCCAGTGGATGTGATGAAGGGTGCAGTAGACTCTGTGAGGGTCCTTAGCCTTAGTGGTTTAATGCTCTATATTTGTGCTGGTTGGCCTACTGCCAGGAGGTGGTGCTTTCCGGAAAGCATCAGCTGTAGTAGCATGGAGGTACTGGCAGTGGGCAGGGCCCTAGGACTCCCAAGATTATATGTCCTTTGTCTTCCACTACCAACTTAAACATTTGTGACAATTTCAGTGTCAGAAATTTATGTGTAATCGAATTTATTCTGGTAGCCTAAATTCTGGTAGCTTATTTTCTTATATGCTTCAATCTTTATAATTTAGTTCTCACATGAGGGAGATCTAATATTGGAAATATTTTCAATCTGTATGTTTATGTATTTATTCTAGTTGTCCTGGCACAAGGTTATCAATGTTGCTGTGTGACCAGCCATTGGCTTTTCACATTTACAAATCCTCTGAATTTTTTCTTGCCTCATTTCTGGTGCTAGGAAATTCTGATATTTTCTCCTCATCTCCATTGTACATTTTAGGGATTCTTGAAACTTTTGATGCACAAACATCCACACTTTCTGCATAAGTAGAATATTTTACTTAGATATTTTCTAGCAGACACTGAGTTCTCATGAGAAATCCTCAGTCTCTTTATTTGGAACACCCCCTCCCCAATATTCCATATGGAGTAGTTTTGTGTAGAATGTGATTACTTCATTAATATGTCAAAGTATGGATACATTTTGAACACATTTCTGAAGTTGTAATAACTTTCTTGATGAATAGTACCTGCGCATGACCAGAATTGTATTTTTAGTAGATACGGGGTTTCACCCTGTTAGCCAGGATGGTCTCAATCTCCTGACCTCGTGATCCGCCTGCCTCGGCCTCCCAAAGTGCTGGGATTACAGGCATGAGCCACTGCACCTGGCCAATCACATCATTCTTGTATTCATCTAGTGGTCGCTGTGTACCTCCCACGTCAGGCACCGTAGTACCAGACACTGAGGATCCGGTGGGGAGCCAGAGGGACTTTAAGGACTGAGTCAGTAGGACACGGGCTCGTGGGATAGGGAAGGATGAGGGAGACAGAGGGTCAGATGATCCCCATGATTCTGCCTGGGGCACCTGAAGGGAAGTCAGAAAGGAAGCCAGGTTGAAGAGGGATGGCAATGAGTTTTGTGTTTGGTCTGCAGGACAGAGATGCCGGGCTGCGGGGAGGACAGGTAGGAGGTGTGTGTCACAGGTAAAGGCAATTGCTCTATGGGCCTGGGTTTTGATGGGAAGAGACGCTAAATCATGGTTCATGATTCTTTCTCAAAATTGTAATGCAAAGAGCCCTCATTGAATCTGCATTTTATAGCATGTACTGTGCAAATTTCGGGGGTATCAGGAAGAAGAAACATGCTCCTTTGTCTCCTGAAGCTCACAGGCCAGTGGACATGGCAGACATGTAAACGAAGGGAGAAGAGGTCAGTCCACAGAGAACAGCTTTGGGTTTACCTCTGATGCTGGCCCTGACCCAGATCAACCAAACCTAATGGAAACAGAGAGCTGAGAAAGCGGGAGAGTTGAGCTCACTGATGCTCGGATTTTACAGATGAATCTGGAGGCGGTTTCTCCCAGTGCTGACATCCAGGCACTGCGGGTGCCACAGAGAAACATGGAAGGGCCTTCTGGAGACCACCACATCTGGCATCCTTCCCCCTTTTAGAACTGGAGCAAGACAACCATGTGTGCTATCACTACTTCTTTCTTTACAGTGTCGGTCCAACACCGTAATGGTCTGACAGTCCTGCAGCTTGGAAGCCCAGGATCATGGTGCCAGCAGGGTTGGTTTCTTCCAAGGCCTCTCTTCTGGGTGGTAACCTCTGTAGGCACGTGCCCTTGGTGCTTCCCACCACTTTTTTCCAAGTTCACGCTGATCCCTTGAATCAGTTATCACTCCCCCACTTGTTTTCCAGCTTCTGTGATGTTCCTGGCAGGCGCTCCTCTCACTCTCTGCTGTGAACTCTTCCCTTTTACATCTGCAATCCCTTCGCATTCCTTTTAGCGGTGTTTGGAGGAGAAGCAAGGGCTGAAGTTGTTCCCACTCATGTCTTTCACCCCCCAGGTGCCTCTGATGTTTCAGCTCCCAGTGGTGCCTGCAGGGAGATCCCTCTGTACTTCATAATATTATTTCTATTTTTTACACTTTTTTTTTTTGAGGTGGAGTTTCACTCTTCTCGCCCAGGCTGGAGTGCAGCGGTACGATCTCGGCTCAATGCGACCTCCACCTTCCAGTTTCAAGCAATTCTCCTGCCTCAGCCTCCCAGGTAGCTGGGATTACAGGTGCTCACCACCATGCCCAGCTAATTTTTGTATTTTTATTAGAGATGGGGTTTCGTAATGTTGGCCAGGATGGTCTCTAACTCCTGACCTCAGGTGATCCGCTCGTCTTGGCCTCCTGAGGTGTTGGGATTACAGGCGTGAGCCACCGCGCCTGGCCACACTATTTTTTTTTTTTTAATTTCCTTGTAGTACTGCTTGGGCTACATGGCTTAAGTTTTGTACATAGTTTTCATTGTTCGGTTCTAAATGCTTTTAGATTTTCATTCTAATTCTTCTCGGACCAGTGCATTATTTTTTATTTTTTTAATTTAAAAAATAATTTAATTTAGTTTTATAGAGATGGGGGGGTCTCACTATGTTGCCCAGGCTGGTCTTGAACTCCTGGGCTCAAGGGATCCTCCTGCCTTGGCCTCCCGAAGCTCTGGGATTATAGATGTGAGCCACCGTGCCTGGCCAGTAGTGTATCTTTAAATTTCCAAACATAGGGGAGCCCTTAATTTTAGTTTGGTTGCCAATTTATGCCTTTATTCTGTTGCATCAAGAAAATGGCTGGTGTGATGCATGTTCTTTTGCTATTTGTTGAGTCTTGTTTTGCAGCCTAGGACATGGTGAGTGTTAGTAAATGTCCAAGGTGAACTTGAAAACAATGTGTGGTCTGTAGTTTTTGGGTGTCCACTAAATCAAGTTTGTTCAACTTTTTCATATTCTTTTTTTTTATTTTTATATTTTGACAGAGTCTCACTCTGTTGCCCAGGCTGGAGTGCAGGGGCACGATCTCAGCTCACTGAAACCTCAAGTTCAAGTGATTCTCCTGCCTTAGCCACCCGAGTAGCTGGGATTACAGGCATGAGCCACCACATCTGGCTCATTTTTGTATTTTTTATTTTAGTTTCCGCATGTTGGCCAAGCTGGTCTCAAACTCCCGACCTCAAGTAATCTGACTGCCTTCACCTCCCAAAGTGTTGGGATCACAAGCATGAAACACTATGCCTGGCCCAATTTTTCTATGTTCTTCCTAATTGAGTCTGCTTAAACCAGCAGTTCCAGTGACAAGTGGTATAATTTCCTGCGTGGAGAATGTGCTCATTTATTAATTTTTCCTTTTCTTGACACTTTTTTGTTTTGTAGTCATTTGAGGCTCTATCATTATGCAGGTGCACACAAGATCAGAATGGCTAATGCTTTTTTTTTTTTCCTGTCGCCCAGGCTGGAGTGCAATGGGATGATCTTGGCTCACTGCAACCTTCACCTCCCAGGTTCAAGCAGTTCTGCCTCAGCCTCTCTAGTAGCTGGGACTACAGGCATGAGCCACCATGCCTGGCTAATTTTGTACTGCAGTAGAGATGGGGTTTCACCATATTGTTCAGGCTGGTCTCGAACTCCTGACCTCAGGTGATCTGCCTGCCTTGGCCTCTCAAAATGCTGGGATTACAGGCATGAGCCACCATGCCTGGCCGCTAATACTTCTTTTAAAATAATTAAATTATTTATGTATTTATTCTTTTTCCCCACCCCTCCCCCACCAGTGAATGCTTTGGAATGAATACTCATCAGTATGCTGCAACCACTTTTTATCCTAATAATGATTTTGCCCTGGAGCCTACTTTGTGTGATATGAGCTTCTCTCCACTAGCTTCCTTTTGGATGGTCTTTGCCAGATGTGTCTCCTTCTATCTCTAGTAATTAGAGCCATTCCAGCTATGTGTCAAAAATTAACAAAAGGGGTTTATGATCAAGCATGGGCAACTTACACAATCGTCAGAAATGGAGGAACAACTCCCAGCCCTCCGAATCGGCCACCTCCTGGGATCAGGAATAAATCCTAATCTCAAAATACAGGTAAACAGTCTACCTCCTGTCCCCTAAATGAGATGCCAAGCATGCCCCTCCCCTCAGCCAGGTTGTCTCCATCCAAATTTCAATGACCACTGGCCTCCCTGCTGACCCATGTCCCACTGAGGAGCCCCAAGCTCTGAACCAACTGCCTACCCACCATCCCCTCGGGCTGCACCTGCTCCCCAGGCCTTCCCCTCCTTTGGAGCTGCCTCTGTCCACCAAGGGTGCTGTCGCTCACCTAACCTTCCAACCAGAACCCGGTGGTACCTTGCTGCCCCCTCCACTCCCTGAAGAAGCTGCCCCCATGCCTGTCAAGTTCTTCCAACTGCTCGAACCTTCTGGAACTCCAGGCCTCAGTATGTCTTGTCTGAGTGGCTGCAATGGCTATGCTTGCTTCTCTGTCTCTCTCCATCAATCAGTCAAGCAATCAATCGATCAATCATCTATCAATCAGCTATCCACCTATTAATCTATAATCAATAATCTATTAATCTATATCATTTACTTCTATAATCAATCATTGATCTATCCCATGTATCTTCCTATCTACCCGTTATCATATCTATCAATCTATCTATCATTTATGCCTCTATCATGTCTATCTTTCAATAATTTATCTATCACCAGGCACAGTAGCAGGTGCCTGTAGTCCCAGTAACTCAGGAGGCTGAGGCAGGAGGACTGCTTGATGCTAGCAGATCAAGTCCAGACTGGGCAAGATAGTGAGATCTCATCTCTAAAAAAATTTTTTAAATCATCTATCATCTCTCTCTATTCATCTATCTATCCATGTATCTATCATGTATTTTATGTATCACTTAGCACCTATGAATCATCCATCATCTATCGATCAATTATCTATATCATGTCTATATATCTATATATCTATGTATCAATTTATCCATCAATCATCTATCTGTTTTTGAGGCGATATTCCCAAAATATACAATCAATCCCTTTAAAGTGCACAATTCAGTGGCATTTAGTATGCTCTATAGTTCCAGAACATTTTCTTCGAAATAAAAAGAAACCCGAGGCTGGGTGTGGTGGCTCATGCCTGTAATCCAGCACTGTGGGAGGTTGAGGCAGGACGATCGCTTGAGCTCAACAGTTTGAGACCAGCCTGGGCAACATAGTGTGATCCTGTCTACAAAAAAAATTTCACAAAATTAGCAGGGTATGGTGGCACACGCCTGTGGTTCCAGCTACTCAGGAGACTGGGGCAGGATTGCTTGAGCCCGGGAGATCAAGGCTGCAGTGAGTTATGACTGCGCCACTGCACTCCAGCCTGGGTGACAGGGTGAGACCCTGTCTGTCTCATTAAAAAATAAAAAATAAATACAAAATTTTTTAAAAAGGACTGCCCCTGCCCCATTTTCCTTCCCCTGCCCCAGCCCCTGACACCCACTCATCTGCTTTCTGTCCCGATGAGCCTATTCTGGACATTTGTGTCTGGCTTCTTTCACCCAGCACGAACTCTTTGAGGTCTATCCGTCGTGTTACGGTGGAATGGCACCGCGCCTTATGCACAGGCTGTTTGTCCATTTGTCTGTTGATGAACACTCAGGCTGTCCCACCTTTGGGAGGCTATGGCCATCCATGCATAAAGGTATGGCCGCACAGCTGTTCTCAGTTCTCATGCCTCTGAGGCCAGATGGGCTGCCGCACCCTATTCCCACCAGCCACCCTCACATGCAGCCACTTGGCCTGCAGTACTCGACACTGCTTCCCTGTTGCTGAAAGCTCCTCGGTGGCCTCTGGGCTAAGTCCTGTCTCTGTAGTGTGGCCTCCAAGGCCCGCCAGCCACAGCCCTCCCTTCCCGTGCCCTCCCTTCCCCCTGTATGCAGCACTAACACCCTGCACTGTGCTCCCAGTTCCCCCCAAGCCCCTGCACAAGTGGCCTCCTCTCTCTAGACGGGCCAGCAACACCCTGTGTGGCAGCTTAGACATCCCTTCTCTTGCCTTCGTGCTCCTCCCACAGGGACCAGCATGATCCCCGCCCCTAGTCCTATTTGGGCTCAGCCAGTATTTCTGTGCAATGTTGTTGCAGGTTCTGCCCCACCACCGTCACAGGAATCCTAAGAGCATGGGCGTGAGGCTCGGTGGAGGGCATGTTGGACCATGTCTTCTGGTGACTTTCCCCCACAGAGGGGCTTGGGGGTCAGGCCCACTCATTTCCCAAACTCACTCTTTCCCCCACAGGCAACCCACTCCCTCTCCTCCATCTCTCCCCAAGACCCGCAGCAGACACCACTACACTCTGAGGCAGGGAGGAAGGACTGCATTTGCCAATGGAGGCTTTTACTGGGGGGACTCGGGATGGCGCCCGGCCTGAGGGCTGAGGGCCTGGGAAAGGCACACAGTGGCGGTGGGGTCTCTCGGGCAGGCGCTGGCTCTGCAGACGGCTCCCCCTGGTGACCCCTGTTTGGCACTGAGCTGGGAACATGGTGTCCGCACTCCCAGCTAGCAAGCAGAAGCCCGTGTGGCCAGGTGGCGGCTGGCAATGTAGGCTGGCGGGGTGACGGCCACAGGGGCTGGGTTTGGCACCGGTGGGAGCCGGGACCCCAGGGGACTCAGAGGCTGGGCCGCCCCCGCTGCTGGCAGGGTAGTCACATTGGCCACGGAGATGGCTACGAATAGGGAATCCAATAAATTAGGCTGTAGAAAGAGAAGGTGAGGGGCCGAGGGGGCGGGGCCTACATTCTCGCTCCGCAGGCAATGCTGTGCGTCCCTCTCCCGTGGGATCTTCGGGGCTCTTGTGGAGGAGAGGATGCAGGTGAGGCGCTCTGTGTGACCGTGGGTACCACTGGGCGGCTTTTATAGCATCGCATGGGATGGGAGCCTTGGCTGGCCACCCTCAGGGGATGGACCGTGGGGTCTTTGAGAGACTGACGAGGAGGGAGGCCACCTGCAGCGCCAGGGGCTGTGGCCTGAGGGGCTCCTGGGGCTCGGCTGCGCTGCTGTGTGGCCAGCACTGGGCCCCTTGTACCCCAGCTTCCTCCACGGAGCAAAGTAGAGGACTCACTGCCCTGGACAGGGCCCAGTCACTGTGGAACAGCCCCCCCAGGGAGTGGGAGGGACAGGGCGAGGGTTACGCAAGGCGCCACCCTCCACATCTACTTTCCCGAGGTCGGGAAGCGTCTTCTAGGACGAGGGGTCAGGCATGCAGGGGCGGGGTGCGTGCGCAGGTGGGTGCTGCCGTCTCCTTCATGTGATTCGAGCTTGGGGGCGGGGCAGGGGCTGGGGAGGGTGGCGTCAGGTGGAGGCACCCTGGAGGCCACCAGGGCCTTGCGGGCTAGGTGCCGGCACGTGCGCTGGGGCCACGGCCTCGCCCAGGATTTGGCAGAGCTCCTGGAGGTGCCGCTGCATCTTGGGAATGCCCGCCAGCTGCTGCTCCAGCCGCTGCTTCTCCTCTGTCAGGCTCAGGCGGGCAGCCGAGCCTAGCTTCTCGAACTTCCAGCCACCCTCCCCATCGAACTGTAGCAAGTGTGTGTGGTACTCCCTGGCCAGGAGAGGGACAGGGTCAGGGGCATGGCACGAGGGCTGCTGATGACAGCCGCCTGCTGCTGCCGCCTGGCCCAACAGGCCACCTCCTCCCCTCAGGCAGCCACTCCCACTGACCCCAGGCAGGGAGACAGGGCACCTACCACAGGAGGGCTGGTGGGTGATGGAGAGCAGGGCAATGCCTGCGTCCTTGGCCGCCTGGAAGATCTTGCCTTCCACGTCGATGCTCACAGCACTGGTGCATTCATCCAGGAGGGCGTACTTGGGCCTGGGGGTCCGGGCCGAGAGGAGAGTCTGTGCACCCTCCAGGGCCCAACACCCCAGTCCGGCTCAGGCTCCACTGAGCCCAGGCCTCCCCACAGCTGCTACTTCTCCTTCCAGGGGACCCCAGGGAGCCTGCCGGCCCGGAGTGCTCACCTGTGGTAGAACATGCGGGCCATGCCGATTCTCTGCTTCTCGCCACCCGGCAGGACATCTTTCCAGTCACACATAGCCTCCCAACCTAGGCAGGGGCAATGGTCTTGGCTCAGTTCCACCAGTACCCAGACCTGGGGTCCAGCCGGGGAGCTGGGGGAGCTGCGGGAATGAGCTAGCTGTGACGACAGGGCCCCTGTGCCTCTGCGTCCTTGTCTGTCTGACAGGTATTAATCATGGAGGAGTGGGGACTGGAATCGTGCCTTCCCCCAGAAGAGATATGGTGAAGTCCAAGCCCCAACACTTCAGTGTGACCTTATTTGGAGACAGGGCCTTCGCAGAGGTGATCACACTAAGATAAGGTCATCAGAGCGGACCCTAATTCAATATGACTGTGTCCTCATAAAAAGGGGGTGTGCGGGCAGAGGACGTGCACAGGGGAACACGAGGTGAAGATATACAGGGAGAAGTGGACCATCTGTGAGCCGAGGACAGAGGCCTGGAACACATCCTTCTGTCATGGCACCTGGAAGGAACCCACCCTGCTGGTACCAGGATCTCGGACTGCTGGATCCAGGAGATGATCCACCCCTGCGGTTTATGGCAGCCCCAGGACACCCATACAGCTCCTTGGCACAGAGCTCCAGAGCGGCCTGAGTTCTCTCCCCAGACCAGGGGCTTGTCACCCACAGGGGTTGGGCCTCCTGTCACTGCCCCGTGCCAGCACTTTGGTAAGGCTCGAGTGGGCTGCTTGAAGGAGCAGGTGAGCCGGCTGCTCCATTAGGCCGGGGCACTGCGGCAGAAGTGGCCCCTCCTGTCTTCTCGCCCATGCTGCCTTCCCCAGCGGCCCAGGGCTAGAAGTGGCGACAGGGTATATGGCCACCCAGAGTAGAGATTACGCTTCCCAGGTGGCCTTGTGGTGAGGTGTGAGCATGAAACTAAGTTGTGGCCAATGAGATATAACTGTAAGTATTCAATATGGCGGCTTCTGGAACCTTCCTTAAAAGATAGAAGACACATACCTTTTGCCCCTTTCCTTCTACTTCCTCCATCCTACAGCCTGGGACATGAGGTGAGGGCTGCAGCAGCCCTCCTGGATCATGAGGTGACTTTGGGAATGGAGGCCACACACAGCAGAGTGACATGGTAGAAAATCCTAGAGCCTCGGGGCCTTCATAGAGCAGGGCCAGCCCTGGCAACTGTGGCCTGGCTCTCTTGGGATCTAACAGCTCAGTAGGATAAACTCACAGATGATCTTAGCCACTACTGCGGGGAGGCTGGTTCTGTTCCTCGCAGCTCAACTCCATCCTAATGGCTCATGCTGGCTGGCCACAGGCCCTGGGCATTCAGGCTGCCACAGAGGCGGGAGGGGCCATGTGCTCCCAGGCCGAGGGCAGCAGGAGCAAGAGGCAGGGTCGGGCCAGGGGCTGCTCCACCACCATCGCCACCTGTGTTCCCGCTTCCTCCACAGGCAGATGACAACACCCTGGTCATTTCCTGTGGGAGCCACTTCTTCTTATGTTGCCACCGAGGGAGGGCTTGGTGCCCATGCCCTTGAAACATGAAGGGGAGCCCCAGCAAGGCGAGGTCCTTGCCCAGGACCATCTCACACCCAGCAGTGGGGGCTGGAAGCAGAACCCAGAGGCTCAGAATTCAAAGACAGAACTGAACGCTCCATCTACTGTGTCCCTGTAGCTGCACCCCCCTCTCCTCCTCCGCTCTCCTGGCCCGACAGCCACTGTGGACAAGCAGTATTCCTTGATAAGCCCAGGACAAGAAAACAGCTCAGTCTGGCCTCCTTTTCAGTGAACTCATCTCTGAATCCACCTGACTCTGCTGGCCCCAGCCCCCTCCAAGCGTCTGCACAGACCTCCTGACAGTAGCCATCACTGCACACATGTTCCTGCCCCTCCCAGGCTGCCCCTGCCCACCGCCCCATGGTCCTTCCAAGAGCGTCTGATCCCGCTCAGGGAAAGCCTAGGCTCCCGCCTGGTCCGGAGGGCCCTCTGTGAGCCAGCCTCTCACACCACCAAGCCTGCGGGCCGCACTCTGCCCTGCTGCCCCTGGCTCCTGGACGGGGTAACCACTCAGCATTCTGCAGGGCTCAGCTCAGACTCCTTTTCTCTGGGAGAGGGTATCCTGGGTACCCCAATGAGGTGCGCATCCCTGCTAGGTGCCCCCTTCCCTAGAGCACCCATGCCACCTGGGGCCATCTGTGTGTTGTTGGTCCTCCCTGGTAGGCAGGCCTCAGAGGTAGCACCCTCTGCCCTGCCCCTGTGGCACCTGGCACTTTAGACTCCTGGATATTGAGATAATCTTCACTCCCTGGAGGCCAAGGGAGAGGCCAGGGTGGGACAAAGGGCGGCTGCCAGCCCCAGGCCTCCTACCTCCCTCCCACTGCAGGATGTGGTGCAGGTGCACGATGTCCAGGATGGCTTCCAGGTCCTGCTCCGGGTAGCCCTTCCTTCGCATGCCCTCCACTGAGTCCGGGTAGATCACCTGGTCACACAAGGAACCCACAGACATGTAGGGCCTGTGGGAAAGCTGGGTGTCCACGGAGGGAAGGGCTGGCCCTGCCTCCCCCAAGATACTCTGTGCCTCCCAGGCAGTGTAGATTCTGTCTGCTGTAGACAAAATAATGGCCCCCGAAAAATGTTCATGTCCTAATTCCCAGAGTCTAACATACAAATATGTTAGGTGGCATGGCAGTGGGAAATTAGATTTCAAGTGAAATTAAGGCTGCAAAGGCGGCGGGGGAAAAAGCCGCAGCAGCAAAAATCCGGGGCGGCGGGGGCAAAAAGCCGCGGCGGGGCAAAAACCCGAGGCAGGGTGGGGGCAAAAAGCCGCGGCCGGTAAAAAGCCGTGGGGGCAGGGGGTAAAAAGCCACGGCGGGGAAAAAGCCGCAGCAGCGGGGAGTCAAAAAGCCGTGGCGGGCAAAAAGCCGCCGCGGACAAAAAGCCACGGCGGCGGGTGTGCAAAAAGCCGAGGCAGCGGGGCAGTGGGGGCAAAAAGCCAGAGCGGGCAAAAAGCCGCTGCGACAAAAAGCCGCGGCGGCAGAGGGGCAAAAAGCCGCAGTGGCGGGGGGGGCAAAAAGCCATGGCCGGCAAAAAGCCGCGGCGGCAGGGGGCAAAAAGCCGCGGCGGGGGTGCAAAAAGCCGGGGCGGGCAGAAAGCCGCGGCGGCGGGGGGTAAAAAGCCATGGCGGCTGGCGTCAAAAAGCCGCGCGGCGGGGGTGCAAAAAGCCCTGGTGGGCAAATAACCACGGCACCTGAGGAGGGGAGGGCAAAAAGCCGAGGCGGGCAAAAAGCCACGGCGGCGGGGGGAAAAAAGCGAGACTACGTCTCAAAAAAAAAAAAAAAAGTTAAACATATCACACCACCTAGTCATTCAAATCCTGCTTATTTGCCCAAGACAAATGAAAGCGTATGTCCAAACTATTGGACAAACATTCGTAGCAACTTTATTTGAAATAGCAAAAACAACTGGAAGCAAACCAAATGTCCATCAAGTGTTGAATAGATACACCAACTGTAGAATATCCATACAATAAAACTATTTTTAAAAAACTACGGGGCAAAAAACAAAAAACCAAAGACAGAATCTAACTTCTTGGTAAATACATTCACTATTAGGGTTTTTATAACAGAGAAGTCATTCTTTATTAACACTCTTTTGACTATGAAAATATTTTGACATCAAAAATCTGCAAAATATGAAGAAACAAAGGACACACAGCTTTTTCTATTTTCTATTTTTATTTTATTTTAGTTTATTTTTTGAGAAGGAGTCTCTTTCTGTCACCCAGGCTGGAGTGCAGTGGCGCGATCTTAGCTCACTGCAAGCTGGGCCTCCCGGTTCATGCCATTCTCCTGCCTCAGTCTCCCGAGTAGCTGGGACTACAGGTGCCCGCCACCAAGCCCGGCTAATTTTTTGTATTTTTAGTAGAGACGGGGTTTCACCGTTAGCCAGGATGGTCTCAATCTCCTGACCTCGTGATCTGCCCACCTCGGCCTCTCAAAGTGCTGGGATTACAGGCGTGAGCCACCGCCCCCGGCCCCAGGACACACAGCTTTAAAATTTCTCCTTGGTCTCACCCAGTGCCAACCACCTAAAACCTCTCATTTTCCCCCAGACATTTCTTCTGCCTCCAGGATGGAGGTAGAGAATCTTGGCCTTGGCCTACGCACTGGGGACCATGCTGGGCTGCCGTGGACAGTGACGGACTCAGGTTCTCACCAGGATCCCCAAAATAGGCCCCTGACAAAAATGTTACCATCAGGGTGCGCTCCCTGATTCTTGTGTCTGCTGGAAGGAGGAAATCAAGCCAGGAACATTGTCAGGATAGAGATGAAAATGGGGCTCACTTTTCTGTCTGTTGTGATGTCAGACAAGCCTTTCAGCTGTGTCTCCTCAGCCCTCATGGAATTGTTTGATGTGGACGCACCGAGAGTCTGAACTGGGTCCCCTTTCCCTCTGCCCTTCTCTGGGGCCAGATTCTGAGCTCTCCATTCCAATTTTTCCCCCAATTTGCCCTTGCATTTATTTATCTGGATTACTGTCTGCCTGTCCCAAAGAATAAAAGCTTTATCACAGTGGGGACTTTGTTTAAAAAAATAATAATAACAGCTATATTTTTAGGATCCATGACACTGACCAGCATATCGGTGGTATCTGATAAAACATGTTTGTTGACTGAATGAACAAATATATTATTCACAATTCACATTATCCTGAACTGGCTAGAAAATTAAATACCTGATATCAGTATTGGCAACATTATGAAGTAAATATAATTCTGATACAGTGCTCGTGAAAGTCTAATATGAAATGCTCATTTTAGAAAACATTTTCTTGTAGATTTGAAAATGTTTCATCTCCATGAACTAGTTGTATATCTGCAAGTTGTGTATCTTTGGGTTAGGCAGAATAATTGCCCCCCACCAAAGACAGCCACATCCCAGTCTTCAGATAAGGTGAACATGCTAACGTAAGTTAGCATGTTCAAAGGGACTTGGCAGATGTGATTACCATTAAGGGCATTGAAATGGGGAAATTACCTTGAATTACCTTGGTGAGCCAATCTCATAATTCCTTGAGAGCAGAGAATATTTTCTGGATGCTGAGATTCAGACAGATGGCAGTATGAGAAAGATGTGGCCTGCTATTACTGGCTTTTAAAACAGTGGTAGGGGGCCACAAGCCAAGGAAAGCCAGTGACCTTTAGAAGCTGGGAATGACCCAAAGTTTACAACCAGGAAGAAACTGAGGATCTACAACCACAAGGAACTGAATTCTGCCAACAACCCAGATGCTCTTTTAGAGCCTTCAGAAAGAAATGCAGCCTGCCAACATCTTGATGTTATTTCAGTGAGAGCCATGCCAGATTTCCAACCAAAACAATTCTAAGACAATAAGTTTGTGTGTGTTTTTTAAAACTGACTCAAATCTTACAAAAATGTGTTCTTTTAAGCCACTGAATTTGTGGTAAATTGTCACAGCAGGAATAGAAAACTGATACAACCCTAGAGAAAGTCTCGTACATGTGCCCTATAAACACACAGCAGAATTTTTTTTAACTTTTTATTGAGTTAAAAAATATATATATAATTTACCATCTGTACATTTTTAGAGGACAGTTTAGTGGTGATAAATACATTTATATTTTCTTCTCTTAATCTCCTCTTCCCACTCCCCTTGCTGGCCTCTAGCAACCACCAATTTACTTTCTATCTTCATGAGATCCACTTTTTTACTGCCCACATATGAGTGACAACATGTGGTATTTGCCTTTCTGTGCTTGGCTCATTCCACTTAACATAATGGCCTATGTTCATTACGTTAAGCCAAATGGCCAGCGCCACCTATGTTGCTGCGAATGACAGAATTTCATTCTTCTTTGTATCTGAGTAGAATTCCATTATGTATATATATGACTTTTAAAATCTATTCATTTGTTGATGAGCGCTTACATTGATTCCATATTTTGTCTATTGTGAATAGTGCTGCAGTACACATCGGCATGTAGACATGTCTTTGATACATTAATTTCCTTTATTTTGGATATATATCCAGTAAAGAAATTGCTGGACCACATGGTAGTTCTATTTTTACTTTTTTGAGGAACCTCCATACTGTTCTCCATAGTGGCTTTATTAATGTGGATTCCCACCAACAGTGTACTAGTATTTCCCTTTCTCCACATCCTTGCCAGCATCTGTTATTGCCTGTCTTTCTGAAACAAGTCATTTCAACCAAGGTGAGATGATATTGCATTGTGATTTTGATTTGCATTTCTTTGACGATTAGTGATATTGAACATTCTTTCATCTTCCTATTGGCCATTTGTATGTCTTCTTTTGAGAAAATATCTGTTCAGATCTTCTGCCCATTTTTAAATTGTATTTATTTATATATTTTTAACTATTATTTTTTTAGAAGCAAGGTCTTGCTTTGTCACCCAAGCTAAAGGGCAGTAGCATAATCATAGCTCACTGTAACCTCAAACTCCTGGGATTAAGAAATCCTCCTGACCGGGCGCGGTGGCTCACGCCTGTATTCCCAGCACTTTGGGAGGCCGAGGCTGGCGGATCACGAGGTCAGGAGATCGAGACCATCCTGGCTAACACGGTGAAACCCCGTCTCTACTAAAAATACAAAAAATTAGCCGGGCTTGGCGCCGGGCGCCTGTAGTCCCAGCTACTCAAGAGGCTGAGGCAGGAGAATGGCGTGAGCCCCGGGGGAGCAGAGCATGCAGTGAGCCGAGATCGTGCCACTGCACTCCAACCTGGGCGACAGCGAGACTCCATCTTAAAAAAAAAAAAAAAAAAAAAAAGAAATCCTCCTACCTCAGCCTCTTCAGTAGCCCATTTTTCAATCAGATTTTTTGTTTGTTTATTATTGAGTTGTTTGAGCTCCTTATATATTCTACTTGTTAATCCTTTATCAGATAGATAGTTTGAAAATATTTTGTCCCATTCTGTGGTTGGCTCTTCACTTTATTGATTGTTTCCTTTGCTTGAGGCTTTTTAGTTTGATATAATCCCATTGTCTATTTTTGCTTTGGTTGCCTGTGCTTCCGAGGTCTTACGCAAAAAAATCTTTGCCCAGACTAATGTCCTGGAGCATTTCTCCTATGCTTTCTTTTTTTCTTTCTTTTTTTTTTTTTTCCACACCATTCTCCTGCCTCAGCCTCCCGAGTAGCTGGGACTACAGGCGCCCACCATCATGCCCCGCTAATTTTTTTTTTTTTTTTTTTTGTATTTTTAGTAGAGACGGAGTTTCACCGTGTTAGCCAGGGTGGTCTCGATCTCCTGACCTTGTGATCCGCCCGCCTTGGCCTCCCAAAGTGCTGAGATTACAGACGTGAGCCACCGCGCCCACGTCTTTTTTTTGTTTGTTTGTTTTTTACTAGCTTCATAGTTTCAGGTCTCAGATTCAAGTCCTTAATCAATTTTTATTTGATTTGATTTTTGTGTATGGTGAGATGGGTTTAATTTTATCCTTCTACATATAGTTATTCAGTTGTCCCAGGATCATTTATTGAAAAGACTGTTGTTTTCCCAGTGTATGTTCTTGATGCCTTTGTCAGAGATGAGTTGTTTGTAAATGTGTAGATTTGTCTGCGATCTCTATTCTGTTCCACTGTCCTATGTGTCTGTTTTTATGCCAGTAGAAGTATATTGGCAATAATTAGTACAGAAAATCTGAAACAATGAAATGACAAAAGTGAATTATACTGATATAATTCATTATGCTCACTAAATGCAATAGCATACAGCTAGGAAAACAATGTAGTGCACACGGTATTAAAATACAACACAATTCAATATACACAGTGCTCACAGTGGCCATCGTTAGAGTGTTGAAGAAGGGGATGTAGTCAGCAAAAGTTGTACAGGTGACTTCAAAAGTAATCATAAGCACTTATGATTACTTTTGGCTTAATTTCTTAAACCAAGACTGGAGACACAGGTGTTCATTATGTGCTTATTATATATATAAAATCAATATTTTATAAATATATTGTTTCTGTTCAGTATTTAATAAAGTAAATCAATAGAAAAGGTTAAAAAGCAATGCACACATATTTCAAATATTTTTTGCTCCAAATTATATAAACATTGCATAGTTATTGCCCTGGGCCTGGCAAGGTGACTCACACCTCTCATCCTAGCACTTTAGGAGACTGAGGCAGGACGATAGCTTCAGCCCCAGAGGTCAAGGCTGCAGTGAACCTTAATTGCACTACTGCACTCCAGCCTAGGTGACAGAGCAAGATGCTGTCTGAAGATAAAAATGAAAATAAGTTAATAAATAAATAAATATATGTGTATATATTAACTGATTTTATTAACTATATATATATATATATAGTTGTTGTCTTGGTCTATAGGCAATCTTACAGTGCTTAAGACTTTGATACTGAGAACAGATCTCCTAGGTATATGCTGTGTTTCTGGGGTGACATGATGCTCTCATCTGGCCTCTGTGAGCCTAATTCTATCTTACATTTACCCCACTCTTCAACAACAACTTGGGGAGGTGTCCCTAAACATTCCTAGGTGAACCCAAACCTGTGGCCCTCAACACATTTCTAGGTAAAGCAAGCTCCTGACATATCTGTGGATATCCTCTCATTGGAAGAAGGGGGAAGAGACCATCTCAAAATAATTCATTTAATATAGCTTTTCAGCATTAATTTTATTTTGATAAAGAGACACACTGTAAATAAAATTTCTAAAAAAACTATAAACTTTCAAGCATTCTCACGCTAAATCTAGCCCTGCTCACATGCCAGGGAAGTATAAAGGTAATCTGTTTCTCAACCTGACCAGGATGCTACAATAATTAAAAATAAACTCAATCCCTGGATCCCTACCAAAGGGACGTTTCATATGGATCAAAGTTCTGGAAAAATTATTTGCCTGGAAATAGACTAATTCTCCAAAATATAATTGAAATAATAGCCTCTGGAAAGGGCCAAATATGACTCTTAATGATACAACAGCTAAATATAGGTCTAATGCTCATTCCGTGTGGACAACAATAGCAGCCATTCCCACAAATGGCTGATTTGTGGGAAGTAAACACTACTTTTGCAGAATCTTACATGATTTCAGTAGAAGGGCAAGGACATTTCAGTTGGGAACAGATTGCTCCATGGTAATGTAATCACTGTGTACCCAACAATGGCTCTTTCTTCCTAGCATCAATGCAGATGTTATTTTCACCTTAACTATTATCATTGCTGTTTCTAACCACATAAAAATGTATCCTTTATATATCTGAAGTAGATTCATACTAGTGGTGTAACATCTCCAGCCATTTAAGGGTAAAAACAGAAAACGTATGATGTGTTTACGTACTGTTTTATACTCCTAACGCATGAAGAGAAGATCCTTTTATTCATTGCCTATACTTTTATTTCTAAACTTTCTGTAACACTTTATCTTATATCCAGCATAGAATTGAGATTTGCTTTTTGATTTAATCTGACAATATTTTTTCCTCTAATAAGAGTCAAGCCCACTTACTTTTAATGATAAATTGTGTTTGGTTATATTTTGATTACAGTATATTATGCTATGATTTATATGCACATATCTGTCTTTTGCTGTCTTGTTTGTTTTTATTGCTTTTGTTTTGATGTTGTGATATTTGGAAGAGTTAAACTTTTATTCTGATGACTACCTTATGTAATTTCATAAAATCATCGCTTTCTTTAGACAGTAGCTAATGTCTCTAGACTAAGAACAATGGTATTAGCTGTATTCTCTTTCTTGTCCTTCCTATGTGATTTTTCATCCCACAATTTGATTTAATCATATTAACTTTGATTCCCCTGGTGCCATTAAGTATGCTTACATTTCTATAAACAATATCCTTTGACTCCCAGGCATTACAGATGAGCAGTCAGTAAAATCATTCTGAGAAATACTTTCTCTTTCCTTTTCTTCCATTTTTCTTAGTTGTATCATTTCTATATTGCCAGAGCACCTACAGTTGCATTTCTTTCTGTCAGCTTTATCCAGCATTTGTTTTTGTCTTTTATTTGAAGTTAAATATATTCCTTGCTCACTACAACACTG
This sequence comes from Homo sapiens, assembly GCF_000001405.40. Lineage (NCBI taxonomy): Eukaryota > Metazoa > Chordata > Mammalia > Primates > Hominidae > Homo > Homo sapiens. Next base: position 91,833,057 of record NC_000002.12, on the reverse strand, counting down.
GGGGAAGGGAGGTTTCTGTTGTCATTGTTGTGCTTGTACAGTTGTTTAGTTAAAAACATTGGCGAAAACAAAAACTGTATGTAGATGGAATGGAGATAAGACAGAAAATGAGAGAGACTGATGATAAGTGTGCCTATTCTAGACTGGGAGGCGTGCTACACTGAGTAGTGTCTCAAGGCCGCAGGAAAGGATGGTTGATTGTGAGCAGGTGGACTTTCCACTGGAGGAGAGAAGTCCTGCGCTCAACAACCTGTGCAGAACCAGAAACTGGTAATGCTTCAAATCAACTTACAGACCTGGAGGTAGAAATTTAAGAAAACTCGTTTAGCACCTAGTTACCTAGAAAATATTAGCAACTATTTGCTGAGCATCTGTCAGTCTGTCTGTAGCATGGAAGACCTGAGTACAGGGGAAACTGGATTAGTAACAGTGGGTCAGAAAATTATATAATATTCAACCAAAATTCCTGCTTTACATACACAGCACCTGGTATTTCCAGAACTAGAAGGTAAAGAAATTATTTGTGCTTGAACTTGCAGAAAACTGCCTTTTCCCTTCTTCTCTTGCATCTTAACCTGGAGCTTCCCTTTTCTTGAGCCTCAGTGTGCTTCCCAACTCAATTTATAATTGACTTCCTGCAGTTTCTCCTTAGGACAGGGCTTTGTTTTGGGGGTGGTTAATTTGTAGGGTTCATAGGAAACAGACCACTCACAGCACCTGCTTTTTGCCATCCTCACTCTCAGCTATGAGTTGAGGTCCAGGAAGCCTTCTGCCAGCCTCAGCTGCTGTTGTCAGATTAATCTGCTGAGTTCTTTTTGCCTAGTAAGAATCTCTGAATTTAGGAACATAGATGTTAGCGCTTGTATTTCTAGGTTTTCCAGTTCCCAGGGCCATTAAACATTTTTTTCTTTCCTTTCCTTCTTCCAAAAAAATTGGTGATTCGCCTGGGTCCCTGTGGTTTAACCTCACAAAAGGTCCATGATGACACCCTGTTACATTGTTTTGTCATAGTTAATACCTTGTTATCCCAGTTGCTCAGTCAGTTTTTGTGAGAGATTCAGGGATATTAATAAAACTGTGCTGCTGCTGCTGCTAACATCTTGCACAAAAGCCCTATTAATTAAAATGTTTATTTTGCATGTGATTTTGAACTTGTAATTTTTATTCAAAGTTTTTCAACAGAGATCCAGAAAAGACCCTCGTTATATTTTTAGTTTTGTGCATTGCAACACTTTTTAGTGAAAAAAAAAAATACATGAGAACAACACAAGTGATTTTAAAAGAATAAACCTACAATCCATTAATTATAAAATGAAATACTATGCAGGTGTTAAGAATGAGGGAATCAATAAGAACTTGTGTGGGGTAACTATAAACTTAAAAAAAAAGAATTAATGCTCATGTGACCATATTATCGTTAAAAAAATACAAGCATACTTGCACACACCTTCAAGCAAAATGGGTACAAGCATTTAAAAATATTTAAATTAAGTAAATGGCCCAATAATTTAACTTCGTATAATTCTATGTTCTCTGATTATTTTATATGCTAGAAACAGGCATTACTGTTTTGTTTATTTCATTTGAAATAATTGTAGTCACATGAGGTTTAAGTTATAATACAGAGAGGTCACATATGCCTATTTTCTAATTGGATACCTTATTTATTACTATTGAGTTTTGAGAATTTTTTACATATGCTAGATGTAAGTTCTTTGTCAGATACATGGTATGCAAATTATTTCTCCCAGTCTGTAATTCATTTTTTCAACCTCTTTACAGGGTCTTTCTAAGTAAAAAAAAAATAAAATAAAAAAAAAAAAATAAAAAAGTGTTTATTTATTTTAATGAAGTCCAGTTTTATCACTTTTCCCTTTTGTAGATTTTGTTTTCGACATCAAGCCTAAAAATTATTTGCCTAGCCCAAGGTCTCAAGAGTTTTCTTCTGTTTTAAAAAGTTTAATGAATTTATTTATTTATTTATTTATTTATTATTTTTGAGACGAGGTTTCACCCAAGCTGTAGTGCAGTGGTGCCATCATTGCTCACTGCAGCCACTAACGGCTGGATTGAAGTGATCCTTCCACCTCAGCCACTTGAGTAGTAGCTGGGATTACAGGCACGAGCTACCATACACAACTTTAAGTTTTATAATATTACATTTTACATTTAAGCCTGTGATTTATGTGAGCTAAATTTTGTATAAAGTATAAATTTAGGTCAGTCTTAGTTTTTGTACCTGTGAATGTCCAATTGCTCTAGCACCATTTGTTGAAAAAGATATCCTTCCTTTAAACTGATTTTGCATCCTTGTTAAAAAAAAAAAAATCAGTTGAATATAGTGTGGTCTGTCACCTTTTAATAAGATAAAAACATTGGCACTCACCAGATATCAAAGTTTAGAAATTTTTTTAAAGCTAAACTTCTGAAAATTGAATAAAAACACCTCCACATGTCAAATTAGTCAATTTGTATAGGACGAATTCATTTAAATATATTAAAATACAACATAATTCAAACCACTAAAGTGATAATACAAGACTATAAATTTAAAGGCTAATTATTAAGTCAAATTGCTGTATTCTACGTGTTAGAGTGAGTTCAAAAGATCCATTGTATTACTGAATAGGCAAAAGTTTTAATTTCAGAGGATAAAACTGATATATTACTGCCACCTTGTGGATATTCTGTTATTATAGGCTATTATAAAAAGCAATGAGGGTATGTAATCTGTTCTAACAAGAAGCATTTCCTTTTTTTTGTCATTTTTATTATTGTTATTATTACATTTTAAGTTCTGAGATACATGTACAGAACCTGGAGGTTTGTTATATAGGTATACACATGCCATGATGGTTTACTGCACCCACCAACCCATCATCTACATTAGGTATTTCTCCTAATGCTATCACTCCCCCAGGCCCCGGTATGTGATGTTCCCCTCCCTGTGTCCATGTGTTCTCATTGTTCAACTCAAAAGAAAAGCAGAAGCATTTTCTGCTTTCCAAATTTCTTAAATACAATGCAACTTCATGTTTAATTTAACTAACTTAATTTTTTTGAGACAAGGTCTAGCTCTGTTGCCCAGGCTGGAGTGGAGTGGCGTGAATATGGTTCAGTGAAACCTCCACCTCCCTGGCTCAAGTGATCCTCCTTACTCAGCCTCTCGAGTAGCTAGGACCACAGGCACGCACCACCATGGCCAGCTAATTTCTTTTTTATTTTTTGTAGAGATGAGGTCTCACTTTGTTGTCCACGCTGGTCTCAAACTCCTGGGCTCAAAGGATCCTCTTGCCATGGTCTCCCACAGTGCTGGGATTTATAGGTGTGTGCCATGGCACCGGGCCTACGCAACTGTAGAGAAGCCTTTTATTCTTTCATAAAAACAGTTGTAGATATTTTCCTTATGGAATTTATTTGTGGTGAAATATTTTAATAGACAGTTTAATTTGTTAAATAATTTGTCTCAGATAATAATAATTGATTAATATTAAAACTACAAAACAAGTAGGGTCTTCTTTTTCTATGAAAAATGAAAGTTGATTCTGACATTTATGTAAACATTTTAAATATTCAAAGTATATAAATGTGAAGTCCTATCAAGAGTAATTAGACAAGAGAAAGAAATAAAGGCCATTCAAATCGGAAAGGAGGACATCAAATTGTTCCTATTTGCAGATGACATGATCTTATATATAGGAAAACCTGAAGACTCTACCAGAAAACTTTTAGAACAAACAAATTCAGTGAAGTTGCAAGACACAAAACTAATACACAAAGATTGGTTGCATTTATATATATGAACAACAAACTCGCTGAAAAAGAAATTAAGAAGGCAAACCCATTTACAATAGTTACCAAAAAAATAAAACCCAGACATAAATGTAACCAAGGAGGTAAAATGAAAGCTACAAAACACTAATGAAAGAAATTGAAGAGGATACAAACAAATGAAAAGACATTCACACTCATGGATCAGAAATATGAATGTTGTTAAAGTGACAGTACTACTCAAAAGCAACCTACAGATTCCATGCAATCTCTATCAAAATACCTATGAATATTCTTCACAAAATTAAAAAAAATCCAAAGAGATTTTATGGAATCAAAAAATATCCTGAATAGCCAAAGCCATCCTAAGCAAAAAGAACAAAGCTGGATGTATCATGCTGCCAGACCTCAGAATATACTACAAAACTGTAGTAACCAAAACATCATGGTATTGGCATAAAAACAGACACATAGACCTATGGAATAGAATAAAGAACCCAGAAAATCCACATATCTCAGCCAACGGATTTTTTACAAAGGCGCCAAGAACACTCATTGGGGAAAGGATAGTCTCTTCGATAAATGGTGCTGGAAAAACTGGATATCCATATGCAGAAGAATGAAACTAGACCTCTGCCTCTCACCCTATACAAAGATCAACTCAAAGTATCTCAAATACCCAAATATAAGACCCAAAATGGTAAAGCTACTAGAAGAAAACATAGGGGAGATCCTTCAGGACATTGCTCTGGGAAAATATTTTATGAATAAGGCATCAAAAGCACAGGCAGCAAAAGAAAAAATAAACAAATGGGATCACATCAAGCTAAAAATCTTCTGCACAGCAAAGGAAATAATAAAGTGAGTGAAAAGGCAATCTACAGAATGGGAGAAAATATAAACTCATCTGGCAGGAAATTAATATCAAGAATATACAAGGAATTCAAACATATCAACAGCAAAGAAGCACAACAATCTAATTAAATATAAACAAATGCTCTGAACAGACATTTCTCAAAAGAAGACATACAAATGACCAACAAGTATATGAAAAAATGTTCAACACCACTAATCAGCAAGGAAATGCTAATCAAAGCCACAGTGAGGCATCATCTTACTCCAGTTAGGATGGCTATTATAGAAGAGACAAAAATAACAAATGCTGACAAAGACGTGAAGAAAAGGGACTTTTTTTTTTTTGACAGAGTCTCACTCTCCGTCCAGGCTGGAGTGCAGTGGTGGTGTAATCTGGCTCCCTCTGCTTCTAGGGTTCAAATAGTTCTCCTCCCTCAGCCTCCTGAGTAGCTGGAGAAAAAGGAACTCTTATGCACTGTTGGTAGGAATGTAAATTAGTGCAGCCGGTATGGAGAACAGTATTGAAACACCTCAAGCAATCCCACTACTGGGAATTTATCCAAAGGAAAGAAAAGCATTATATTGCAGAGACATCTGCATCCCCATGTTTATTGCAACAGTGTTCACAATAGCCAAGATATGGAATCAACCTAGGTTTCCAACAACAGATGAATGGATTTTTAAAATATGGTATATATACACCAAGGAATGCTATTTAGCCATAAAAAAGAATAAATAAAATCCTGTCATTCTCAGCAACATGGATGGAACTGGAGGATACTATGCTAAGCAAAATAAGCCAGGAATAGAAATTTCAACACCACATGTTCTCACTCACGCAGAAGCTAAAAAAAAGTTGATCTCATAGAAGTAAAAAGTAGAACAGAGGATACTGCAGGCTGAAAAGGGTAGGGAGAAAGGAGGAATAGTAAGAGATTTGTTAATGGATACAAAATTACAGCTAGGTAAGAGTAATAAGTTCTAGTGTTCTATAGTACTGTAGATGACTATAGTTAACAATGCTATATTATGTAGTTTAAAATACCTAGGAGTAGTTTGAATGTTCCCAACACAAAGAAATAATAAATGTTTGAGATGATAGATATGCTAATTGCCCTGATCTGATCACCATCTACATGTACTGAAACATCCCCGTAGAGCCATGAATATGTATAATCTTTGTCAATTTAAAAAGTAAAAAAAAAAAAAAATTAATCTTGGAGAATGCATTTGAAGGACTTGTACTCAAGAAATCAACTTAAGAACCTGAGTCTCCTTGGAATTTGTGTTTTCTAGACCAGTACTTCTCCAAATTAAAGCAAATTTAGGCTGGGCATGGTGTCCCATGTCTATAATCTCAGCACTTTGGAAGGCCGAGGAGGGCAGATCACTTGAGGTCAGGAGTTCGAGACCAGCTGACCCAACATTGTGAAACCCTGTCTCTACTAAAAATACAAAAATTAGCCGGGCATGATGGCATGTGCCTGTAATCCCAGCTACTTTGGAGGCCGAGGCAAGATAATCGCTTGAACTGGAGAGGTGGAAGTTGCAGTGAGCCGAGATTGCACCACTGAGCTCCAGCCTGGGCAACAGAGCAAGACTCTGTCTCAAAAAAAAAAAAAAAAAAAAAGCGAATTTAGTTCACTTTGGTATTGTGTCAAAATGTTGATTCTTTTAAAGTAAATCTAAAGAATTTACGTGTAGTTGAAGCTTGTCATCTGTTAATTTTTTTAATTAAAATATAATATTTAGATTCAGAGTAAATCTAAAGTGAGACCTGAAGCTGCTCTCAGGTGATACTGATGCTGCTTATTTTTGCCCAGGTTTTGAGTCACAAGGTTCTAAATTATTGTTTTGAAGTCCTACATGAGTAATCACTTGGAGAGCTCAATTAACACCCAGGAACAGACTAATTATTAATAAACCAGAATCTTCAGTATTAGGCTTCAATCATTGGCAATTTTTTTTTTTTGACACACAGTCTCCCACTGTCGCCCAGGCTGAAGTCCTGAGGCCAGAATGAGATTAGGACATGGTTCCTTTGCCTAAGTAAAGTGAGGCAGACAATGGAATACTTCAGACTTCAAATTAGTACGGTAAGTGCTATGAAGAGTATGATTAGAGTTCATTATTTACCCAGAAAAGGGTCACTCAGCCCAGCCTGGGAGTTAGAGAAGGTTTCCTGAAGTCTTGACATGTGAGTCATGAAAGGACATAAGGAGTTAACCACGTGACAAAATAAGCTAAGGGAATTCTCAACAAAAGACAAAATATTGGCAAAGGCTTTTAGGCATATACTAGCTTAGTATTATTGGGAGAATGTAATTATTTTCTGTATTTCAAAAGTGTAAAATACAAAGTGGGCCATGGTATGAGATAAACCAGTAAATATGTTCTGGGAACAGATCATAGAAGGGCGTGTATGCTGTCCTAAGGAGCTTAAACTTCAACTTCAGTTCATGGGAGCCAATGACAAGATCTGAGCAGGGGAAGGATGTGGCTAGAGGGGCATTTTAGACAGACAAGATCCTCTGTGGATTACACCTAGGCTAAGCAACGGGTTAAAGTTGTTGTCTTAAGACAATAGTCCAGGTAAAAGATAATAAAGTTTTAAATTAGGATGTTAGTAGGAATGAGGAAGAGGGATGGGTTTCAGAAATAGTAAGGAAATGTATTAGCAGGACTTGATTAGTGATTGACTTGGGGAAGGAGGGGAAGATAGAGTTCAGGATGACTCCGAGACTGTCTGGTGTCGGTGGCTAATGACTGAAGCTATTAATAGAGGGAGGAAATGCAGACCAAAAGCAGGCCCGGGGTGAGAGATGATAAATTTGAATTTTAACATGTTGAGTTTGGACATCCAGGATGAAATAACCACAAAACATTTAAATATACGAATCTGAAAAGGTAAGCATCATAAGCATATGAGCTATTGGTAAAATTCTGATACTTAATGAAGTCTTGCAGGGAGGCAGTACAGAGGCAAGCAATGGGCTGGGGATAAAACATAGGGAAATATTATTTAAATAAAGATGAAAGAAAAGGAGCCCACAAAGGAAGCTGAAAAGGCATAGTCAAAAAAAGAGGCTTGCCAAAGTGCCACCTTTGAAGCTCTGCTGTTACACTTTATAAGGAAACTTTTGGTTACCTGAGATTGCATGCATTTATAAAAGTTTCTATTATTAGGAAGACAATAATAATGGTAAGGTTCTTTCTCATTGTTGTCAGTGTAATTTATTTAATTATAGAACCTAGTTCCAGGATGCTTAATCTGAAGTATATACTTGGGGCAAAATGAATTATAACTTAATAATAATCTGGAATTTTTCTCTCTAACTTGACATATTTTAATTCTTGCTAGATTTTCAAAATGTCATACCTCGAACCACCACCAGATGGCTATGAGAATGTTACAAATATTGTGCCACCATATAATGCTTTCTCAGCCCAAGGCATGCCAGAGGTAAAATAAAATACATTTGTAACCCAAGTCTTTAAATGGTTCTTTTGCTATATAAAACCTGTATAGAGGACTAAAACCAGGGAAATTAGGTGAATCATTCATGCGGATTCATTGTTTGATATTCAGTACTATGAAAACCTCATCCCTCAAATTTAAAAATAGAAAAGAACACCAGACAGAGAAAAAAGAAACAAAACAAATACATTAAAAACTGACCCTGCTGAAGCAGATGCCACTCTTTGAAATAACAAAGAAACTGCTGAACACGCCTTTAATTCAGTGAGGCAGTAGGTGTTTTTTTCTTTGTTTGTTTTTGTTTCTTTTTTTTTTTTTTTTTTTTGAGACGGAGTTTCGCTCTTGTCACCCAGGCTGGAGTGTAGTGGCACAATCTGGGCTCACTGCAACCTCCGCCTTCCAGGTCCAAGCAATTCTCTTGCCTCAGCCTCCTGAGTAGCTGGGATCACAGGTGCACACCACCACAGCCTGCTAATTTTGTATTTTTTTTAGTGGAGGCGGGGTTTCTCTATGTTGGTCAGGCTAGTCTCGAACTCCCAACCTCAGGTGGTCTGCTCACCTGGGCCTCCCAAAGTGCTGGGATTACAGGCGTGAGCCACCACGTTAAAAAGGGAAACTTCCTATTTGCCCTCTAAAGGATTGCAGAAAATGAATGGACAAAACATAAATTAATAGAAGAAAGAGGCAAAAAAAAATTCTGTAAAATGTAGGCGAAAAATCACAGGGTCTCACTCAGTTACCCAGCATGAAGTGCAGTGGTGTGATCATGGCTCCTTGCAACCTTGAATTCTCAAGCACAAGTGATTCTGCCCCCTAAGCCTATGGAGTAGCTGGGATCACAGGGGCATGCCACCATGCCCACATACATGGGTATTTGCTGGAGAGGAGATGGAGACTCTCTGTCCTGGATGTGAGACAGGTGGCTGGCATCTGGGTAAGGATGACATTCCCTCATTGCTAAAGAGTAAAAGAGGAAAGTGTCATGGATAGTGCAAGCAGGGACATGCCCTGACCTAGTGAGGTCCAGAGGCTTATATTGTCCTTCATAGGAGAGTGGGAAGAAGCGAGTGTATGCAACCCAGGGGAAATAAATGACCTAAAATAAAAGAAATAGATCATCAGAAGTGTAGACGTATTAGTCAGGGTTCTCTAGAGTGACAGAATTAAAGGACTATATACATATATATATGAAGGGGAGTGAGATGGTTAATAATGACTGTCAACTTGATAGGATTGAGGGATATGAAGTATTGATCCAGGGTGTGTCTGTGAGAGTGTTGCCGAAAGAGATTAACATTTGAGTCAGTGGGCTGGGGAAGGCAGACCCACCCTTAATCTGGTGAGCACAATCTAATCTGCTGCCAGCAAATATAAAGCAGGCAGAAAAATTTGAAAAGGAGTGACTGGCCTAGCCTCCCAGCCTACATCTTTCTCCCATGCTGGTTTCTTCCTGCCCTCAAACATTGGACTCCATGGCTCTCCTTTCTCATCAGTTTGCAGACAGCCCATTGTGTAACTTATGATCCTGTAAGTTAATAAACTCCCCTTTATAAATAAATATATATATGTGTGTGTGTGTGTGTGTGTGTGTATGTATATATATATATATGTATATATCCTGTTAGTTCTGTCCCTCTAGATGCCACTGGCTAATACAGGAAGTTTATTAAGTATTAACTCACACAATCACCAAGTCTCACAATAGGTCATCTGCTGGATGAGGAGCAAAAAGAGCCAGCCAGAGTTCCCAAACTGAAGAACTTGGAGTCCATGTTCGAGGGCAAGAAGCATCCAGCGTGGGAGAAAGATGTAGGCTGGGAGGCGAGGCCCGTCTCTTTTCACATTTTTCTGCCTGCTTATAGTATGGCTGGGTTGGCAGCTGATTGGATTGTGCCCACACAGATTAAGGGTGGGTCTGCCTTTCCCAGCCCACTGACTCACATGTTAATCTTTTTTTGGCAACACCCTCACAGACACACCCAGGATGAATACTTTACATCCTTCAATCCAATCAAGTTGACACTCATTATTAACCATCACAAGCCCACCCCTTGTGAACTTGAACCCACACACATCTCCTGAGATCATACATAATCTTAAAATACAGACAATAGTAAGGTCATAATTACCCCTAACATAATAAACTATCCTTCCTACAACTGGAAATGCACCCATCCCCAACCCAAATACTCTTACATAAAGTAAACAATACTTAAATGCTGATATGAGGTCAGCAAATCTATGTCACCTGATAAAGAAAAGGGAAATGAAATGAAGATATTTTCTTAGTACAAGTGCATACATGCACAAACATGTTTTTAACAAAAGAAGAAGGAAATACTCATGATAGTTCCAGTCCTCATTTCTGCAGCTGGTCAGGTGGTCGTAGCTGGTATTGATAACTACTTTCTTCCACTATTCATTCTGTATTCCCTTTGCCTTCAGCAAGCACCTCAGCAGGTCGTGACCCGGAGAGGATCTGGACCATGTGTAGTCCTACCTGGATTGGGTATAGTTTCCCATTTACCTTAATCAGAGTTCATGATAATACCAAGAGACGCCCTAATGGATCTCCTATATTCCATGCATACTCTTCCTCACTTCCGTTGTGGAGTAGCGGACTGACTTCATCTTGATAGTCTGGGTCAATCACTGCTGCCAACACTGTAACTCCATTCTTAGCTTGTTGACTTAAAGGTAGGAGGACCCCAAAGCGTCCAAGTGGCCATCTTAACTTCCAGTTTAATGGAATCGTTATTGTGTCTCCTGGTAGCAGCGTTCTTCCCTCTGGAGCTAAGATGACTAGTAAAGCAGAACCTAATGTCGTGGGAACAGAAAGCAAACATTTTGCCAGTGCATCATAGTGAGTGGTTCCACTTTCACATCCACCCCTTGAATCCTGGATCTGTGAATCCTGGTTATGGGAGAAACAATACCATACATTGGGCGCTGATTCAGAGCACACATGGTCTTCTGGAGTATGGTGCCCCGGCCCGGCAAAGTATTGTAACCTAGTTGACGTTGTAATCGCGACCTCAAAAGGCCGTCCCACCATTCTATCAATCCAGCTGCTTCAGGAAGATGGGGAATATGGTAAGACCAGTGAATTCCGTGAGCATGAGCCCACTGCCTCACTTCTTTACCTGTAAAGTGAGTGCTTGGTCAGAGGTAATGCTGTGTGGAATACCGTGATAGTGGATAAGGCATTCCTTGAGTCCATAAATGGTAGTCTTGGCAGAAGCATTGCATGCAGGTAGGCAAGCCCATATCCTGAGTAAGTGCCTGTTCCAATGAGGACAAACCTCTCTCCTTTCCATGGTGGAAGAGTTCCAATATAATCAACCTGCTACCGGGTAGCTGGTCCATCACCCCAGGAAATGACGCCATACAAAGGGTTCACTGTTAGTCTCTGCTGCTGCTGCTGGCAAATTGGGCACTCAGCAGTGGCCACAGACAGTTCAGCCTTGGTGAGTGGAAGTCCACATTGCTGAATCCATGCATAGCCTCCATCCCTGCCACCATGGCCACTATGTTCATGGGCTCATTGGACAATGACAGGGGTGTCTGAGGAAAGAGGCTGAGTGGTATCCACAGAACGGGTCATCTTATCCACTTGATTATCAAAATCCTCCTCTGCTGAAGTCACTTGTTGGTCAACACTCACACAGGGTACAAATATCTTCAGTTTTTGACCACTCAGAGAGGTCCATCTACATACTCTTTCTCCAAGTTTCTTTGTCACCAATTTTCCAATCATGCTTCTTCCAAGTCCCTGACCATCCAGCCAAACCATTGGCTACAGTCCATGAATCAGTATATAACCGCACATCTGGAAATTTCTCCTTCCATGCAAAGTGCACAATCAGGTGCACTGCTCAATGTTCTGCCCACTGGGAAGATTGTCCTTCACCACTGTCCTGCAGGGATGTCCTAGAAAGGGGCTGTAGTGCTTCAGCTGTCCACTTTTGGGCGGTACCTGCCTATTGTGGAGAACCATCTGTGAACCAGGCCCTAGTCCTCCCTTCCTGTGTCAACTGCTCAAAGGCAAGTCCCCATGAGGTCATCAGTGCAGGCCGCGGGAGAGAAGGCAGGGTGGCAGGAGTAGAGACCATGGGCACTTGAGCCACTTCCTCATGTAACTTACTTGTGCCCCCCAGGACCTGCTTGAGCCCAATCACTTATACACCATTTCCATTTGATGATGGAATGCTGCTGTGCATGACCCACTTTATGGCTACATGAGTCAGAAAGCACCCAGTTCACGATAGGCAGTTCAGGTCGCATGGTGACTTGTTGACTCATAGTCAAATGTTCAGTTTCCACAAAAGCCCAGTATAGGACAAGAGCTGTCTCTCAAAAGGAGAGTAGTTAACTGGAGAAGATGACCGGGCCTTGCTGCAAAATACTAGAGGCCTCCACCATGATTCACCTATGGAGGCCTGCCAAAGCCTCAAAGCAGCATTCCTATCTGCCATGGACACGTCGGGGGGACCCAGCCTCCCCTTCATTCAAGGGGTTCTGGGTCCATAACCTGGCTCAAGGCTGGAAATTGATTGAGGGGCCATGAATCTCTGTTTTTATAATTCCAATTAGTCTTTTATCTGTTTGACCTTAAGTTTCCTCCTTACGTAAATTAAGTAGGAATGCATTAGTCTTCCTGTCAGTTTCACTTCTAGGAACACTGTGATTAGTTAGCCAATGCCAGAGCTCTACATGAGTCAGACTGTTCAGATTGCTGCTTTGTCTTTTCTGCCCATTACGGTAGCTACGCCCACCGTGCCTTTGAGGGTTGAGTGCTACCACTTGGCCCCTGCCACTTCAGGATCCAATTATTCCAAATTGTATTTAACTTTTGTAACTGAGTGACTGCAGTTCTCACCATTAGATCTGACATACAGAGAAGAGCCTTTACAGGGCTCTTCAAAGATGCAGGTGCTGTCCTCACAAATCTATTTTGCAAGGTGTTTGTCAAGGGTATTAGGTACAGAGTCGCTAAACTCCTTGCCTCTCACGAGGGATGATTCATTAGTGTCAAATGAATTTGTTTTGCATAGCTCTTTAAACCTTTCATGCCAAGAACTGTCAATATTCTCTACACTATTAAAAGTAGAGTCCTTAGCATTTTGGGATCTAATCATATTTAGCAGCCAAATCCAGAAACCCCAAAACCAACAAAAGAACTCCAACCTTAATATTCTGTTCCTGCAGAACCATTCCTGGTACCAAAATCTGTATTAGTGAGGGTTCTCTAGAGGGACAGAGGGACAGAACTAATAAGTTATATATATATATATATATATATATATATATATATATATATATATATATATATATATATATATGGGTTTATTACATATTAACTTACAGGATCACAAGGTCCCACAGTAGGCTGTCTGCAGGCATGAGGAGTGAGGAGTAAGGAGAGCCAGCTCGAGTCTCAAAACTAAAGAACTTGGAGTCCGATGTTCAAGGGTAGGAAGCATCCAACACGGGAGAGAGATGTAGGCTGGGAGGCTGGGCCAGACTCAGTTTTTCACTTTTTTCTGCCTGCTTTATATTCACTGACAGCTGATTAAATGGTGCCCATAGATTAAGTAGGGGGTCTGCCTTCCCCAGACTACTGACTCAAATATTAATCTCCTTTGGCAACACCCTCACAGACACACCCAGGAGCAATGCTTACATCCTTCAATGTAATCAAGTTGACAATCAGTATTAACTATCACAGGATTACAGACCTGAGCCATCACACACAGTGTTATTCTGTATTTCATACAATTTCCTGATTTTCCCATTTTATCTGTGACTTAATAAAGTTTTTCAGCTATGACCCCAAACTGGTAATACTTGAAAGCACATTCAAATGTATTTTGCAACAATTCGTAACTGGCAAAATGTTGAGCCTTGTGGAAAGAGTCACCTTACTTCCCCATCAGCTGTCAATTCCCCATCATTACTATCACTTCTGGGAGCACATTTTCCAAAACTCCTTTTCTCTCTATGGTTTCTTTAGAGTTGCTCCATGAGGTTACAATAAGTTACAACTAATTACTGTCATGAGATTGGGAAGTCAGAGTGGTGGATTCATGTACACTGACACCTGAAGTAAAACACATGCAGTTAGGTGTGGACTGGAGAATCACCTGGAGATGTGCTGCAGGCAGCTGAGAACATCAGCACCCCCAGCCCTGGGCTTCCCAGACCAGACTGAGGATCATCACACGGTGTTCAGCACATACCACCAGGGGCAGGTGCACCCTGGCTTCTGAAGTAGCACCTGAGAATCCCCTGTGTCTAGTACCTGCTTCATGAATAACACTCCATAGGCTTCAGAAAGACTGTGGTTTAGACTCTAATTTATTCAACTTGAATAATTTCTCCTTGAAATACTGAGAATAGCTTCTCTTTTGCTGTACAAATTCCGATTATCCCATAACACAGACTCCTCAGCTGGACTTATCTCTCTTCTTTATTCAGTCAGGACAGGCATTGTCACGTCTTTTCTGCTGGGGATGAGGGCAAAAGAGGCTTAGGGTTCAGAGGAACCTCCCTGGCCTCCTCTAGGAAAATCTCCCAATGACTTTCCAAACCTGACTGAGTTTGAGAACTTCCCTCAGCAGATAGAAGCACCAGAAGGAGCACTGGGGCAGCCCAGCCTCACACATCTGCTTCCTTGGGGTTTATGTTATGACTTGTAACACTGTGGGAGGGGTACTGTCACTCTGTTGACAGTAATAAGCTGCAAAATCTTCAGGCTGCAGGCTGCTGATGGTGAGAGTGTAATCTGCCCCAGATCCACTGTCACTGAACCGAGAGGGAATCCCACTTTGCAGACTGGATGCAGCATAGATCAGGAGCTTAGGAGTTTTCCCTGGTTTCTGCTGATACCAATTTAAATTATTGCTAATGCCCTGACTCGCCCGGCAAGTGATGGTGACTCTGCCTCCTACAGATGCAGACAGGGAGGATGGAGACTGGGTCATCTGGATGTCACATCTGGCACCTGAAGTTAGAAACATAAAAACAAATATTCTTGCAATTAATCATGTTATCAGAGGACTTCCCTGAAGTTCCAGACAGTACTGAGCACACTGACCGAGTATAATCCTAGTGTTCTCCTTCCTTACCTGGCAGCCAGAGCCCCAGGAGCCCCAGGAGCTGAGTGGGGGCCCTCACGTCCGTGCTGTGTCCTGACTGGGGCTGACTCCTGCACCGGGTGTGAGCAGCCTATAAGAAGTCTTCAGGGCAGGGGGCTGTGCTCTAGGAACAGGCAAATCAGCAGGGGATGGGGCAGGCTGAGCACAGCTGCAGGGCCGGCTCATCTCAGTAACTCAGCACACGGGCGCAGTATCCCCAGAGTCCCAGGTCAGACCAGGGCAGCACAGATTTACCTTGAAACAGTACACTTCTCATTGGTGGCCATACGGTTACAGAACATATGTTTGGAGTGAATTTTCAAAATTTTAAATCAACCTAAGACTAGATTAAATAATATATTTATACTTGTATTAGGAGTGTATAGGAAAGCATCATTTTTGGCAGAAAATTTACAATAAAGTTATAGAGTGTGGGGCTGTCAGAAATTTCAGTTAGTCTCAAAGGAATTTGATGAGTGTAAAAGTATTTAGTGCTATAATAACAATGTCTCTGTCAGTGTGAAATTGCTTCTTTCTTGAAATGAATATAAAAAGAATTTATGAGAAGCATCTTTAATAAATTCAATAGAATTTACTAACAAACTTAAGACATTGTTCCTAGGAGTAAAAGGAAAAACAATTCTCTGAAGATGCACAAAGATGATAACTGTGTCACGCATAGATCTGCCATTATCCAGAGCTATGGGTCTCTTTAAGACCCAGGGGCTAAATGGGCTGCACCTTATTCTTGGCGTGATGATCCCTATATTCTATCCCCTTTCCTGCCTTTGGTATAATTTCTTATGGTTCTCCAGCATGGAGAGCTGACTGGTAATACCAGGTCTCATTATTTCAAAATCTCTGTTTCACTCGCGGACTATAGGAGCCTGGATTAAAATCAACTTGAAGCCCTCTATCAATCTAGGCTCAAATAGTCAATTGTTTCAAAGTAGGATGACAAAGGCCACATCCCCTGAGTAATGCTCTGAGCTGCGCTCCCCACCAGCCTGTTCCTGGGGTCTCAGGAGCATCTGCCCTAGAGTCTGGCTTTCTGGAGAGCAGGTGAGGGGGGAAAAGCCAGGTCAGTGAACCTCTCTCCTTAGCGAGGGCAGCTGCTGCCCAATGCATGTTCTTGCCATGCACCAGGGCATCATCCTGACCCAGATGCCAGCCACCCTGTCTCACATCCATTTAGAGAGAATCTCCATCTTCTGCCAAGACACTGCCCATGTAGATGAAAAAGTATTTTGCCTCCAAACATATCTTAAGTACTGATTTGCACCTCAATACTTCACACAGATGCCTTTGCCCAGGGCGTGTCGGCCTGGCTCAACAGCAGGGGAAGTGGAGCCAATTACATCAGTGTCAGTGGACTGAGAAATACTCCAGGGAGTAGTTCTCATGCACGACTACCAGTGGCCAGACCAAGGTAGTGCAGCCTGTGCACAAACCTCCTGCTGCTTTTCCAGAGGACTGGATCTCTGGGAAATGGCTACTGAACAGGCTGCCAGGATCCATATATCCAGATTCAGAGAGATACATCTCTGGATTCAAATGCACTTTTTCTTTGTGCATAATTTTAGCAGTCATTGTTACTACGCCTTGGGGATTCTAGACATTATACTTCAGCTGACTCTCTATGGCCCTTTCTCCCCTTCACTGCTCTGTCTGAACCTGGGGAAGCAGCTCAGGCTGCAAATGAGGCAGACCTCATGGCCTGGAATTAGCATCCCCTAGGAAGGCTGCCAATCAGTGATGACAAGGGAGGTGTACACATCCCGCAGCTCCCTCACCTCTCAGATGGAATAACAGAGGCATTTTTCCTGTGTTTGTATGTGGGCTTGAGCTCTCGTCATCCTCAGAGGTGGCTCCTTCTGAGGCACCTTTCACTTTCCCTTTCCCTCCTCCCCTCCCTTGCTCACTTGCTTGTTTCCCGCACTTTGTAAATATACTGCCCGCATGCGAATCTTTGGCATCCTTCTCTCTGAGGGGACCCAACCTAATGCATTGGAAAAATCCTCATTCTTGGAGGGCATCGTTGGTTTGAATTATTGCCACTTCTCATGTTTTAATGCCTAGGGAAATTCCAAAAATTTAGGAAATCTTTAAATCCCCTTTGCCAATCTTTCTTAGATTTGATTTTAGCAGAGGTTCATTTTCTCTAGGTCACAAAATCACAGAAGCCTTCCACAAATGGCTACACAACATAGAGTCCACATAGAGCAGAGACTCAGAATCTTCCAGGATTTGACATCCACACATCAGACAGTCCTAGAGTCTCAGGTTTTTTCTAGGTCGATCGCCTCGTAAATCTGCCTTGTGATATTTTTATTCTACCTTAGGGGAAGACCATTGTGGGGATGATGAGGGTTGTTTGTGGAATGAATAATACACCCACTAAAGACATCATTGTTCTAATATCTGGAATCTATGATCATTACTTATGAACAAGTCAAAAATAACTTGGCAGACGTGGTTGAGAATTTTGGGGTCAGGAGAGTATCCTGAATTATCTGGGTGGGACCATCATAATCACAAGGGTCCTTATAATAGGGAAGGAGGAAGGTAACAGCCAGAGAGGACCTGGGACAACGGACAGGGAAACTGGAGTGATGGAGGAAGGGGCCATGCTGCTAGGAATGTGGGAACATCAGAAAGATGGAATGCTCGATATTGGATTTTCCCTCTTGAAGCCTAGAATGAATAGAGCCCTATTACTCCTTGATTTTACTTCATTGAGACTTCTGACCTCCAGAAATGTAAGATAATACACTTGTGTTATGTGGAGCAGTAAGGTTGTGGTAATTTGTTACAGCAGCAACAGGAAACCAATGCAAGGGGAAGGGGTGTGTTTTACTTCCCTAGTGTATCACTGTCCTCTGTTCTCCCAAATAGTTCTGTGTTTTTGTGTTTGCTGTCAATTTCAACAAGAGACAGAAAACATTTTTCTATGAGGGGAGCTAGCACCACAATTCTTCTTACGTAGAAAGTGTCTTGAGTAATTCTCTGGGTTAGGTCTTGTACAGTCTTGGTATCTGAGAGCCTGGAGGTCATCCCTCACAGCACATGAGAAGAGGAAGGGGATGCGGGTTTGCTGTTTTAACATTTGTAGGGCAAATTAGATGTACAAGACCTATTCTTTTTATTATTATTATTATTGTTCTTTAAGTTCTAGGGTACATGTGCACAACGTGCAGGTTTGTTACATATGTATACATGTGCCATGTTGGTGTGCTGCACCCATTAACTCGTCATTTACATTAGGTGTACCTCCTAATGCTATCCCTCCCCCCACCCCACGACAGGCCCTGGTGTGTGATGTTCCCCTTCCTGTGTCCATGTGTTCTCATTGTTCAATTCCCACCTGTGAGTGAGAACATGCAGTGATTGGTTTCTTTGTCCTTGCGATAGTTTGCTGAGAATGATGGTTTCCAGCTTCATCCATGTCCCTACAAAGGACATGAACTCATCCTTTTTTATGGCTGCAAGCGAGGACTGAGTCAGAGAGATGGGGATGGCAGAGGAGACAAAATGTGGTCAGGGCCGTGTAAGATGTGACCCTGCTGCCATATCTGAAAGAAAGGCTGTTGGTGTTTGTAAAGGCTTTGGGCAAATTGTGCTTTGTAGACAAAACTGTAGAAGGGTCTGGGTTTAAGCTTAGTGTCAGCGTGATGAGGACTAGAGGTTGCAGTGAGCTTGTGTTAAGAAATCCACCCTGCACTTCTGGCTTTGTCTCTTTCCTGGTTTTATAGGTGGTGGGTTCCTCTATGGAATGAACGTGGCTCTGTGGAAGGAACATAGTTAAGGTCAGACAGACCTAGATTCCAAGTTCAGCTTCAACAACTGCTGACCAAGTGACTTTTATGCAAATCAGCCATGTGCTGTCATGAACAGTTTCCTCATGTGTGAAATGGGGCACTGAGGATGTGAAGGGGTGTCCTGAGGGTTCCGCCAGCTGATGCACCATGAAGTGTACATACATGTATAGACAGACACACACACATACATGAGAAGAGTATCTAGTGCCCCTTTTATGCATCCTTGAGTAACTCAGAATGTTATGTGAGATATTAACAGTCATATGTCATTTTCAACTAAAATTATCAATATTTATCTTATAACTAACAGATGCTTCTCTGTACACTGTAGGTTTCATGTACATTTCTTCAATCACAAAATTTTTCAACAATCTATTTACATCTAGTATCAGAAAGTTAAGCAAGGAGATTGCAAACCAACACAACAACTTTAGTCTGGATTTTCCCGGAGCCCCATTTGTGTTAGTGTCCTCGGGCTACTGTAATAAGTTCTCAAAAATGTGGTAGCTTCAAACAACAGGAATGGAATCTCTCATAGTTCAGAAGTCCAGATCAGTTTCACTGGGCTAAGATCTTGGAGTCATCAGTTCTGGCTCCTTCTGAAGCTCTAGGGAGCAGTCTGATTTAGCTCTTCCAGCTTCTGGTGGCTTCTCTCTCCCGGGATGTGGACACATCACTGCAATCTCTGTCTCTGTGTTCACACTGCCTTCTCCACTTCAGTCTATGCTAAATGTCTCTCTACCTCTTGTTTTTTTTAGGACACTTGAGTTTGCATTTAAGTCCCAGTTGATTAATCTAAGACCATCTCCCTGTTTCAAGCTCCTTAATTTACACCTGCAAAAGCTGTTTTCCCAAATGAGATACATGCATAGTCTTCTTGGAATGAAACCTCACTATTTGGGGATGATACTCAGTACTACACCATTACATAACCAGGTCTCAGTGTTAGTCCTGTACATACATCACAATCTCTCTCTCTCTCTCTCTCTCTCTCTCTCTCTCTCTCTCTCTCAATGTCCACACACCCTGGCTTCCTCCTTTTCTCAATGTCATAAATCTCTTCAATTCCTTAAGTGTATCCAGTGATACCTATAAACAAATAAGTATCTGAGAAAAGTCTCAATCAGTTTAGAAATTTATTTGGTCAAAGTTAAAGAAATATCAGTGAAACAGCCTCAGGAGGTCTTGAGAACGTGTGTCAAAGGTCGTCGGGCTACAGGTTGGTTTTACACGTTTTAGGCAGACATAAGATATCAATCAATACGTGTAAGCTGCACATTGTTTTGATATGGAAAGGTAGGACAGCCCGAAGGAGGGGGGATGTTGGGGACTTCCAGGTCATAGGTGGATTCAAAGATTTCATAGGTGGTTGAAAGAGTTTATCTAATGACCTGTAATCAACACAAGGGAGTTTCTGGGTTTAGAAAAAGGGTTTTGGAGCCAAGGTTGCATCATGCAGATGAAGCCTCCAGGTAGCAGGCTTCAGAGAGAATAGATTGTAATTGTTTCTTAGTAGACTTAAAAGGTGCCAAACTCTTAGTTAAATCTCTCTGGGTCAGGAAAGAGACTTAAAAAGGAATCTCTACAGAATGTAGACTTTTCCCACAAGAACCAGCTTTGCAGAGGCATTTTTAAATACATTAAATAACAATATCTTGGGGAAAATACTTTGATTTCTCTTAGGACGTGGTATCTGCCACATTGGTAACTTATTGCTATAAAGAGTTTTCTTTGTCAGTCTCAAGGTCTCTGTCTTCATATTAAAAGCTGGTCAGTTGTGCCTGAATTTTAAAGGGAAGAGGGTAAGTTAAGGCATATCCAATCATCCGTTCCGATTATGGACTGCATTGTATTTCAGGTTGATTTTGGTGTGTCCTTGGCTGAGAGGAGGAGTTCATTCAGTTGGTTAGGGAGCTTAGAGTTTCATTTTTGGTTTACACACCTATGTCCAGGTAAGAGGGCCCCACACAGGAGGGCTTGCTCAGAACCTGGCTTGCAGGGCTGCTTACAGACCTTCTATGTCTCCTGTTGTCATGCACAAGGAAGGACACAGCCAATGACAACCCTCAGCCATCCGGGGAGAAGCTGTGTCTGCAGAGGACGGTCAGGAGCTGTGAGTCTAGAGACCTGTGATTGTCTTCAGGGGCCTGTGGTCCTCGGCTTTCATAGGAGTTGTGGGGACACTGGCTCAAATAGCATCCACCAGGATTCCAATCAGAATATCTCATTCACAGAAGGCAGTGGGTGATATGACAGCACAGAGGGACTCTGTGGGTCCAGCTGCATGGAGCACTCTGGGAGAGTCACTGGCACCCGTGGTAGACAGAGCTTCATTCAACTTCTGGAGCACACGGATTTAGATCTCTTTACATCATTTTGAAAGACCATTTACCATTCTGAAGGAAACCACTGTAATTAACTAAGGTAACATCTTTAATAGGTAGAAAGAAAAAAGTGATTATTTTATTGCCAAGATGATTACAAGAAAAGAAAGAAACAAAAATAGCATGAAGGAAAGAGCAACACTAGACTGAGGGCTTTGGGTAAGAGGTTGAGACTTAGTAGTGAATGCCCTGGGCCATCTTCTGTCAAAAGGGAGGGACAATCAGCAAAGGGAAATATGCAGTAGAGGCAAAATCTTGGTTAGTAAAAGAATCCTAAGAGAAAGCAAGAAGTCTCCTTCCTGAGCATCATGTTGGTGTCGGGAAGATGCACATAATCCCATTGCATGTCTTACACTTTTCAGCAATTAGGGCTCAGCATGAATTTAGAAGACACCATTCACTTCACAGCAGATGGGGACACAGTCAAGGCAGTGGTGAGAGGCAAGGCTGGGCTTTCAGTCTCAGAGCACAGAGCAGGTTCCCCACTACTCCGCACCCTGGTGTCTCCTCCCAGATGTTCCACCTCATTCTTGCCTTAAGGGCTCCAAGTTGTTAATGGGACAGTAGCCCTCTTCCTTTCCCAGGGTTTCTAAGAATTTGGCTCTCTTTTGTGTATTGCGGGGTTTGTTTGCCATCTAGAGGCAGGTTTTTGGCATGGCAACTTATAGGCTTTTTCTACTTGTGATAGCAAAAATAAATACATAAATAAATTCATCATAAATAATAAATTGACTTAATGCATTCAATCTGTAAAAAAAAATAAGGTCAGTTTGAGAGCTTAAAAGGAGCCTGATGAGGTTAAAAAGACAAATTACCTTTAGTAAAGAGCAGTTGGAGCAATAGATGATTCTTTCTTTAATCAATAACATTTTAGGAGTAACTATCAAATGGTAAATAAAACTTGAAATAAGAGGATAAACTATAATTTTATATGCAAAAAAATATTTCCAAGAACCATACAAATACATTTTCAGATTAAAACAAACAAAAAATGTGGGTTTATCATCATATCCGCTAAATGGAAGATTTCTCAAATGTGTGCTTGGAGCAAAAATAACACTTATCCCTATTTGAAAGTTCAAGATTTTTGAGTTTTCGAAGAAAACAGCTTTCCCTTCACTCTGTTCCACTCACGCTTCTGAGGATGGCCATGGGGCAAAAAGCCACGGCGGCGGGGGACAAAAAGCCGCGGCGGCGGGGGTGCAAAGAGCCGCCGCCGGTAAATAACCGCGGCACGGTGGGCGGGGGGGGGGGGGGTGGAGAGCGCAAAAAGCCGCTGCGGGCAAAAAGCCGCGGTAGCGCGGGAGCAAAAAGCCGCGGGGGAGCAAAAAGCCGAGGCCGGCAAAAACCCGCGGCGGCAGGGGGGCAAAAAGCCGAGGCGGCGGGGGGCAAAAAGCCGAGGTGCGCAAAAAACCGCGATGGTGGGAGCGGGGGGACAAAAAGCCGCGGCGGCGGGGAGCAAAAAGCCGCGGCGGGCAAATAATCGCGGCACCGGGCGCGGTGCGGGGGAGGGGGCGGCAAAAAAGCCGCGGCGACAAAAAGTCGCGGCGGCGGTGGTGAAAAAGCCGCGGCGGTGGTGGGGGGCAAAAAGCCGCGGCGACAAAAAGTCGCGGCGGCGGGGGTGAAAAAGCTGCGGCGGTCAGGGGGCAAAAAGCCGGGTCAAGCAAAAAGCCGCGGCGGCGGCGGCGGCGGCGGCGGCGGCGGCGGGTAAAAAGCCGCGGCGGGCAGAAAGCCGCGGCGGCGGGGGGGCAAAAAGCCGCGGCGGCGGGGGGCAAGAAGCCGCGGCGGTGGGGGGGCAAAAAGCCGGGTCCAGCAAAAAGCCGCGGCGGCAAAAAGCCACGGCGGCGGGGGTGAAAAAGACGCGGGGGGCAAAAAGCCGGGTCAGGCAAAAAGCCGCGGCCGGCAAAAAGCCGCGGCGGCGGGGGACAAAAAGCCGCGGCGCCGGGGGTGCAAAAAGCCGCGGCGGGCAAATAACCGCGGCACCGGGGGCGCCAAAAAGCCGCGACGGCGTGGGGGCAAAAAGCCGGGGCGGGCAAAAAGACGCGGCGGCGGGCGGCAAAAAGCCGCGGGGGCGGGGGAGCAAAAAGCCGCGGCGGCGGGGAGCAAAAAGCCGCGGGGGCAAAAAGCCGCGGAAGGCAAAAAGCCGCGGCGGCGGGGGTCAAAAAGCCGCGGCGATGGGGGGCAATAAGCCGCGGCGGCGGGCGGCAAAAAGCTGCGGTGGTGGGGGTGCAAAAAGCCGCGGCGGGCAAAAAGCTGCGGTGGCGGGGGGGCAAAAAGCCGGGTCGGGCAAAAAGCCGCGGCGGCAGGGAACTAAAAGCCGTGGTAGGCATAAACCCGAGGCGGCGGGGGGGGCAAAAAACCGCGGTGGGGAAAAAGCCGCGGCGGCGGAGGTGCAAAAAGCCAAGGCGCGCAAAAAGCCGCGGTGGTGGGGGAGGCAAAAAAGCCGCGGCGGCGGAGAGCAAAAAGCTGCGGCGATGAGGGTCAAAAAGCCGCGGCGGCGGGGGGCAAAAAGCCGCGGCGATGAGGGTCAAAAAGCCGCCGCGGCGGGGGGCAAAAAGCCGCAGCGGCGGGGGGGGGGGGGCAAAAAGCCGCGGCGACGCGGGGCAAAATAGTGGAGATGGGGTAGAAGGCCGGCACAGGTTGGCTTTGCTGGAGTGTGATGTGATAGGAAATGTGCAGCCAAAGACAAAAAAAGATGTAAGTAGGCTTGACTCATTGCAGCCAAGAACCCAGATGTTATCTTGAGGGTTTTAACTAATAAGCAGTTTAAATCAGAATGGCACATTCTGATTTGTTTTTTGTATATTCACATTTGGCAGGCATAGATACCGTTTGAAGAGAAAAAAGTCAGTAGATAGAGGTAACAAACTTAAATATGTGCCGAGTCTAGAAACAAGAGACTAGGGGGATAAGGACCTTTCGAAATAAAATGCAAGATTTGAAAACTGATTGGCTGGGGGATGAGGAAAAGGCAGGTCTTTAAGGTCAATCCCTGTTTTGCTTTAAGTTGTTAGGGGGTGGTTTTATCATATATTGTAGAATACGTCATTTCAGTTTTGAACATCTTGAGTTAAATTGTCCTAACATATCTTATGAATTTGATTTTCTTCCCTGGGAAGCTAATATTTCAAAAACTGAAAGAGTATATAGATTTCCAACTTGTATCCAATTTATAAAACTATCTCTAGGCTGCTGATTTCAGGAGGAGGCTCATGAATATTCTATTTGCAGAGAATATATCAGGAGTTAACATCAGCCTCAATATTTGTGGACGACCAGTTAACTAAGCCACCTCTTAGTGTATTTAGATGGGAAATCTTAGCTGAAGGTATTCAATAATGAACCAACAGTGACTAAAAAATTCAATATTTAAGTATATTTCATTGTAATTAATTTGAATTGAAGTAGCCATATACAGCTAGTATTTACTACATTGAACAATGCAAATAAGAGGAAAAAATTAATAACCATCTCTAATACCACATGCCAAAATCCTCATCAATTTATTCTAGCTAAAGGAGTTGATCAGAAGCAGCAGTTGAAAGCACCAACTAAACCAGCTGGGGTTAGTTCACTGTCATTCTCTCAGAACCATCTCTTCTCTGAACAAAACAAGTACAAGAGTTCATTGTGAATCTGCATTCTCCTTGCCTATTTTAAGGTTTTGATGTTGACACTAATTTGTGAAATCCCTCCTGTGGTGTGATATTTCGTTTTCCTTGCTTTTTGTTAGGACAAGAATGCTTCAGCTCTTAATTTAAAATTATGTTTCTCCCTCCTAGGTTGAGTGAACTTAGAATGCATTCTCTGACATATCCAAGTTTTCGTTAATATGAATTTGGGGAAAAAAGCATACTTAATTAGCTAAGACTTCTTATTCTAGGCTTGACCCTGTGTTCGACATCTATTGAATTTGTAGTTGCATGGGCTGCTCTCTGACACTGGTTACTGACCTGGAAGCTATATTAACGTTAGGGGAGGTGGTGTATGGGCATTAGAGGTATCCTTGCAAGGAAAGACTTGTCTTATCTCAATATGTCTTTTTTTTTGCACACAAGAAAGTCAGTGTTTGAGTCTTCTAAAATCTTCCTATTTCCAAGTTGCAGAGTACCATTGATTCCTAAACAAAGACCTAATTTTTGACTCAGAGACGTGGCAAGGTAGTGAATCACCATTATAATTTAACAATCTTCAAGATAAAATTATCTCTCTGATATTTAGATTTTGCCCAATTATTAAGATATTTGGGTGTTTCGTTAAGAATGGAAGACTCTAGTCTCTTGAGCAGAGACTATAAAGGCCTCAGATGATCATTTTTACTTTTATGCTCTTTTCTTTAACACCTTCAACACAGTTGGAAGCAGCCGATATTCCCCAGAGTTGTTGTGTTTTTTAAACCAAATGCATGGTTCAGTGGTAGAAAACTGGGCTGATCCAAGCTGTTTTCAGTAAACACTTCATTTCAGGTGACCTATTTCATATTAAATAATCTCTAGATCCTGTCTTCGAAACTAACTAGATCAGATAACCTACCCTGGATTTTCTCCTTTTAGGGTCTGTGAGCCGCAGTCACTTTTGTGAAAATGATCGCAATGACAAGATAGAGTTGTAGATGGGGAAAATGTTTTGACTAATTTAAGCATAGTGGTATTTCATATGAGAATTTAAGTTACACACATTTGAAAATTATAATGGAGTCTCTTGGCTGAGCTTTAAAAAAAAATAGCGTTTAGGCTAAACAGGGAACTGCTACCTCTCCTAAAATCAGAAAGATGTCACAGTAATTCTCCATTCTCTAGAATTATCAGGAAGCACCTTTGTGATGATTTACTTCTGTTCTTGGGAGTGTGAGCCCGTGTAGTCTTGGAACCATCAGTTAGAATGATGGCTTTCTGATCCCAAAGTCATTCGTTCTGAAAACAATATTTTTCATAAATTTGAAAGTGAGAAGTTTTGATCTTGCCACTCCCAAGTAACTCTCTTAATAAGAGGCATCAGCATGCTTCAGTGACAGCTGTCACTTTCCAGTGCTGAGAGTCGTCTTTGAGTTCTCCATTTCACTCCCTACA
Source organism: Homo sapiens (assembly GCF_000001405.40). Taxonomy (NCBI): domain Eukaryota; kingdom Metazoa; phylum Chordata; class Mammalia; order Primates; family Hominidae; genus Homo; species Homo sapiens. Next base: position 91,806,546 of record NC_000002.12, on the reverse strand, counting down.
CTCCAATTTAGCTGCAGTTCTCTTGGCCAGTCCTATGAAATACATCCATGGCCTAACGACTTCTCACCACTACTACCACTCATCCTGACAGCATTCTCACCTAAGTCACTACCTTTTTTCTCTGGATTAGAGTAGCCTCCCAATTTATTTGCTCACAAAACCTATTTATTCTACACGGTGCACCAGATACACCCCTTTGAAATGCAAACACAATCATGTTATTCTCTGGTTAAATTATCTCATATATTCCTATCGCATTTAAAATTAATTCAGAATAATCCCCTGATTATCAAAACCCTACATGCTCTTCCACAACATGGTTTACTTCCAAGATATCTCTTCAACTTTTTTTTCACTGTACTGAATTGGTGACTAAAAATCATATTTTTATTTTTGCTCAAAAAGTCTTGACTTGTAAATTTTTCAGTTTCTCCTTTATCCACAGGTAACTCTTTCCTCATAAGGCGAATTGCTTGCTTCCTTGAGTTCTGCTCTCAAAGACACCCTTCATTTTCTACCTAATATTAATAACTTTAATCATTCATTATTCCATTACTATGCTCTATAGTGTATACAATTTCTGTTCTTTGTCATGTTATTAACTAAATTATTTATTTGTTCCAGTAACGAATTCCATAAATATTGTACACATAAAAATTATGTTATTTTTATTCCTGTATGCTCAGCTGCGCAATAACAGTCTGAGGATTAACATATTTGTTAAATGCACAAATACGTTCTTTCACAAATATTAGTTTAATAATTTTATATTAAGCTCCCTCTATACTTACAATATGAATTAGATAATTGAGAATAAGCATTCCAGTGGAAAAAAACTAAACAATTTGTTGTAAAACATCCTTAAAAGCATCAGAAAGTTAATACAGCAATGAAGAATTACAGGACCAAATTAAGAATGGTATGGAAGCCTGTTTGTGAGGCTTATGTTTGGGTTATCTCTTTACTTAGAGAGACTATAAATCTCAAAAGAGGATTAAAGGGAGAAATAACCATATCAACTCACATGGTAAGGGTATGCAAACATCTCTTAGTAATGGAGAAAATTGAAAGAAAAGAAAAAAGAGAAAGGGAGAAAGAGAAACAGAGCGAAAGGGATAATGAAGGAGAGAAAGAAGAAGAGAAGGGAAGAGGAAGAAAAGTAAAAAGGAGGAGGAGGGAGAGGGAGGAAGAAAGAAAGGTGAAAAGAAAGAATGCTAAAGTTTTCAACAACATAATTTATCCTTCCAGAATATGAATGTCGGTCTATTTGATGATGTCCCACAGATTCCTTAGTCTCTGCTCATTTTTTATCTGTTTCTCAGAGTCAATATTTTCCATTTTCTTATCTTCAAGCTCATGACTTCTTCTGTGTATGCAAATATACTCTTAAATCCCTCTGGTGATTTTTAAATTTTTATCGTTGTAGTTTTCCACTCCAGAATTTCTGCTATCTCTGTTGATATTCCTACTTTTTAATATTTTTTCTGAATCCTTTATTTCTTCGTTTATGTTTTCCTTGTGACATTTGAGTATAATTAAGAGAGTTGTTTTAAAGTCTTTGTCTAGTAAGTTTGAAGTCTGGGTTTCCTTAGAGATATTTTCTGTCAGTTTGTTTTGTTCCTTTGAATGAGCCATACTTTCCCGTTCTTTGTATGCCATGTAACTTTTTTTGAAAACTGGGCATTATAATAATTATAATTACTATGTGGTTACTCTGTGAATCAGACCCTCCCCCACAAACACAGTAATGTTTTGGGGTTTTAAATTTTCTTTACTTATTATATTGTTAAGGATTTTTTTTTTTAGTGAAATTTTCCAAAGTGATTTACAAAACTGTTTGCTTTATAAGGTGTGGTCACGGAAGTCTTTTTGTTTCCTTAACAAATGTTAAGCTAATGTTTTGACAGTGATTTTCTTGTATGTCAGGAAGTAAGCAAACAGGCAAATACAACAAAAACAAAAAGAAAAACAAGTAATCATTGTCCAGCAAAATATGTCTCTAGGCCATGCAGACTGGCTTTGTGCTGGGTTCTTTAAAGCCGGCACAAAGTGTGTGTTCACTCTTGCACTGAGTGAAGTTCAAGTTCACTCTTGCACAGAGCTTGCACTGAGGGGAGGGATCGGCCAAGGTAAAAGTGTAGGGTCTTCTTATGACATTTGTCAGCATGTGGCTTAACCTATGCATGCATGTGACTTTCTAGACTCTCCCATGTACGTGAATGATTTTGAATGTCTTAGTTTTCCAAATACTCTTCTCCAACTTTTCTTCCTGTGCTGAAGATGATCTACTATATGTGTAAACTCTAATTTTTGCCCTAAGCATCTGTGGTTTGTTAGGTCTCCTTGCAGAGTCTCTCGATAATGTCCATTCCTTATCTGATCTGTATTCTAGCAACACAGAAAAACAAAAGCCTTTCATGAGTCCTTTAGGTATCCCCCAGACCAGTCAGAACAGACACATAGTAATTTGCAGGTAAGATCTTCTCTTGTTCCTTTGGACCATGGACCAGTGTTCCTCACTGGGAACGTGGGCTTCTGCCACTTCAAAACTGCCAATTTGCTGGGGCAAAGGCAAGTTAAAAATGTCATAAAGTTTTCAAGTTGTCTTTTTCTTGAGTCTGCTTTCACTCGGTTGTTGTAATCTTTAGACTATTTTCCAGAGTTTTGACAAAGTTTATTCAGACAGTTTCTCTTAGTTGTGTGATGTTTCTGTGGGGAAATGACAGATTGCAGCTGTCTCCACTGTCATTTTGCTGATGCTCCTCTTTTGTCAATTTTTGCTTCGTGTTATTATGCTTTGTTATTAGTTCATGTATTAGTTTTCTAGGGCTGCCATAACCAAGTAACACAAACTGGGTGCCATGAACAACATACATTTATAGTCTTATAGTCCTGGAAGCTAAAAGTCTGAGATTGAGGTGTCAGCAGGGATGGTCCCTTCCAGGGCTATGAGAGAAAGCCTGTTCTATGCCTTGTTTCTCACTTCTGATGGTTTAGTGGCAGTCTTTGGCATTCCTTGGCTAATCTCTGCCCTCATAATCACATGGTACTCTCCCTGTGTGTATGTCTCCCTCTACTCAAATTTCTTCTTTTAATAAGGACATCAGTCATACTGAATTCAGGCTCATCTGATTGTATCTTAACTTGATCAGCTGTAAAGAACCTATTTCCTAATGAGGTCATATTCAGTGGTTGGAATTGCAGCATCTATATAGAGGAAACAATTTAGCTCATATCTGTGCATACATGATTGTAATAGCTATGTCTTCCTAAAGCGTTGACCCCCTTTTTACTACAATATAAATTTTTAAAATCCTATTCACATTTTTAATAGTCTATATTGTGTGTTATGAGTATAATGAGTTCAGTGTTCTTATGATTGCTCTTTGCATGATATTTTTTGTCATCTTTTTACTTTCAATCCATTAGTATCCTTGCATCTCAGCGTATATTGGGATCACTTGTTTTAATCCAGTCTGACAATCTCTGCCTCTGGAATGGATTTTAATCTGCTCACATTTAAGATTATAATGGGTATAATTCTATTTATGTCTGCCATTTTACCGTTTGTTTTATATATTTCTCAAATATTTTTCTTTATTGCTTTATTTTGCAATGAAAGAATATTTTCTAAAATAGGGAACTTTAGATTACTAATGAATTATTTTATTATATATTTTTGAGAATGTTTGTTGTTGTTGTAAGTTTACCATATAGGTATATGGAAAATTAATTATTCAAATCATCTTCCAATTTATACTAGTAAACTTTTAGTAATACATAGAAACATCATTCTTATATAAATCTCTTTTATTTCCTCCATTTTAAAGTATTATCACTTTACACATTACATCTATTAAAGTTACAAAGCCAACAATACATTTTAGTAATTATTACTTTACCATCTAGAGTGATTACCTTATCACAATACATTTTTCTTCCAACTACCTCCTTTTTGATGTTACTGGAAAATATGTTATAGACGTATTACATTTCTACATGTCAAAAACTCAGCAATACATTATGCACATATTATTATTATTATCATTGAGACGGAGTCTCCCTCTGTCACCCAGGCTGGAGTGCAGTGGCACAATCTCCGCTCACTGCAAGTTCCATTTCCCAGCTTCATGCCATTTTTCTGCTTCAGCCTCCCGAGTAGCTGGGACTACAGGCGCCCGCCATCACGCCCGGCTCCTTTTTTGTATTTTTAGTAGAAATGGGGTTTCACTGTGTTAGCCAGGATGGTCTCGATCTCCTGGCCTCGTAATACGCCCGCCTTGGCCTCCCAAAGTGCTGAGATTACAGGTGTGAGCCATCGTGCCCGGCCATTATACACATGTTATTTAATAAACAATTTATGATAAAGAGAAAAAATGCATTTTTACTGTCTTTTATAATGTCAATATTACCTATACCAGTGCTTTTTTAAAAATGTGGATTCAAGTGACTGTCTTCTGTAACTTGCTTTTAGCCTTAGGAATTTATTTTAGAGTTTTTTTTTTTTTAATGTGGTAGGTCTGCCAGCAACAACTTCAGCTAATATTTCTGTTTATCTGGGTAAGTCTTTGTGTTATCTTCATTTTTGAAAAATAATTGCTGGATAAGGAATTCGTGGCTGAGAGTTTTTTTTCCTTTGCATCTTTTGAATATATTATTCTACTGCCTCTTGCTTTCCATTGTTTCTCTTAAGTCAGCTGTTAATCTTACAAAACATAGGTGCTCAAAAAATAAACATGTGCATGAATATTTACAGCAGTAATATTCATACAGTCAAAAAGTGGAAACAATCCATATGCTTGTTGACTCATAACTGGACACCAAATTTTCAGCTATAACAAAGAATGAAGTACTTATATATGGTATAATATTGGTGAAATTTGAAAGCATTATGTTAAGTGCACAAAAGGACAAATATTGCTTGATTTTATTCACATGAAACATCAGGAATTGGCAAATCAATTGGGATGTAAATTAGATTAGTGGTCATTAGGGCTCAGGGAAGCAGAATAGGGTGTAACCACTTTATGCATAATGGGATTTTGGAAGGGACATGATGAAATTGCCCTGGAACATTGTGAATATACTAAAAGCAAGTGCATTGTATGCTTTAAAATGGTTGTTATTAATTTTCTATTATGTGATTTTTACCTTAAAAAAAGAGAAAATAGCCTTACTCTATACATAATAAACTCAAGATATGTTACAAATTTACATGTGAAATCCGAAATACTATAATATTTAAGGAATAGCTAAGTAGAATAACACTGAAATTTAACATAATGAAACATTTCCTTAAAAAAGAAAAAAAGCACAGTAATTAAAAAGGAAAATAATATTTTTTCTCTCCATTAAGCATGCCATTAACTGAGTATAAAATCAAGCTGCAATTATGTAAACTACATTTTCTAAAACCATAAAGAAAAGAAGAAATAAAAAGGTATTTGGGAAAAAAATCCAAAGGTACAGTCAACTACACAAAAAAAGCTTAGTCTCATTAATCATTATGGAAATGCAAATGGTAACTGAAAGAAGATAAAACTACAATTCAAAGAGAAAGCCTAAAATTTCAACCCCCCAAAAAGTCTGGGTTTTGGAGATCTGGGATGGAATAGGGTTCCTAACCTGACAACAATGAAAGAACCAAACTAACTTCAAAGTCATGACTTTATTTTTATAGCAACGAGGTTGCCAAGAACTGAGTCAAAATGTGAGGGAAAACAAGCACCTGCAAGGAGAAAGAGGACAGATGCACTTACATAGGACAGATGCAAATAGACACCACTATGACAAGTAAAGCTGGAATAATCAATAAATTCCTAAAGACAAAGTGGGGCTGGTCAGATTGGGAGACCGCTGACAGCTGCAAAAGTTGGGAAAGATCCATCATCTTGAAAACTTTTTCTCCACAAACCCACTATGATCTCTCAAGCAATTGGTAAGGAATCCAAGAGAGTCTGTATATGATACAGATCAGGGAGAGCAGAACACTTGGGAGGTGACCAGGTCTTGGGGGCTGAGCTCTTATGAATCGGATTAGTGCCTTTATAAAAGAAGCTCAATGGAGTTCTTGTGTGCCTTCCACTGTGTGAGGACATAGAAAGAAGGCACCATCTATGAACCATGAAATGGGCTCTCATCAACACTGAATTTGGGAGCATCTTGACCTGAGATCTTACAGCCTCAAGAAGTGTGAAAAAAGAAATATCTGTTGTTTTTTAGTCACCCAGTTTATGTTATTTTGTTATAAGAGTCCAAATAGACCAAGATATTCCACTTAATATGTAGGGGAAGGCAACAAAAACTGCCACACTTAGAATACTCCTGATGATTGGGAGTATGAAAACAGGAAAAACAAAACAAAACTGCTCTTGAAGGTGAAGGAGGAATATCACTGAGCTCACCAACACAGCCAGGAAAAGAACAGAAGTGTGAGAAGGCTACATTCCTGAGACCCTGAGAAAAAGTACCTGCATAAGACAGAGATGAAATTACCTACTCTAGTTATGATTGAAATCCCAAAAAGAAAACAGGGAAAAATAGTGGAGCAAAAGAAATATTTTTCAAAATAACTGCCAAAAATATTCTAAAAGAAGTGACAGAAAATCAAACTTCAGATATAGAAAACTCAGAGAATGTCAAATAGAACAAAAAGAAATAAGAATTCCATCTTGAAACATCTTTGAAAAATCTTTAAAAAATCAAGTCTAAATTTTATATCTTGCTCCAAATATATAGAGATATAAATAGGTTATCATCAAGATATGGAGAAAGCCATATCATGGAAACACTAAAATAAGGCTGTGGAAGGACTACATTGATATTAGACACAACAGAGTTCGGAACAAGAAATAGTATCAGAGATGAGAGATAATAGAATAATCAATTCTCAAGAAGATGTAAACATCCTACTAATTAGGGTATGCAGCTAACAACAGAGCCTCCAAATACGTGAGGTAAAACATGAAAGAAATCAAAGGTGAACTAGAAAAATCCAAAATTATATTTGCAGACTTCAACACTTTCGTCTTAGTAATGGAAAGACTAGGCACAAACTCAGTAATCATGTGGAAGATAAGAACAACAATATCACCAACAAGACATCCAATCTTCAATGGCAGATACTCTTTCCTTTCAAGTGAAAAAAAAAAAAAACAGTATGGCATATTCTCTAACAAACACAGAATTTCTAATATTTGTGGTTTTCCTTCCTTCTTTCCATCTTCCTTTGTCTTCTCTTCCCTTCCCTTGCCTTCTTCCTTCCTTTCTTCTTTTCCTCTTCCTTTTCTTTTCTTTTTTCTTTTCCTTTCTTTCTTTTTCTTTTTTTCTCCTTCCTTCCTTCTTTCCTTCTTTCTTTCTTTCCTCTTATTCTTCCTTCCCTCCTCCCTCCCTTCCTTTCTCCCTCCCTTTTCTTCCTTCTTTTCTCATATTCTTTCTTTCTCACGTTCTTGCTTTCTTTCCTTTTTTCTCCCTTCCTCCCGCCCTCCTTTTCTTCCTTCCTCCCTCCCTTCCTTTCCTCTTTTTCCTTCCTTCCTTCCTTCGCCTCTTTATTTTCTTTGTTTCTTTGCCTTCCTCCCTTTTACCATTCTCTCTTCCTCCTTTTCTTCCTCCCTTCCTCCTTTCTTTCTTTCTCTCTTTCTCTTTCTTTCTTTCTTTCCTTCCTTCTTTCTTTCTTGTGTTCATGTTTTCTTTTTTCTCCCTTCCTGCCTTTCTCCCTTCCTCCCTCCCTCCCTTCCTTCCCTCATTTCCTCCTTCTTTTCCTTCTTCTTTCTTTCCTTCCTTCCTTCTTTCCTTCCTTCTTTTTCTTTCTTTGTTTTCTTTTCTTTCTTTCTCTTTACTACAATTCATATTATTTTAAAAAAATTAAGACAGGGAGACAGAAAAATAAAGAACGCTTTAATCTGCAGGTTAAATAGATTATGTCTGCTGTAGGCAAAAGAATGGCCTCTCAAAAATTTTCATGTCCTAATTCCCAGAGTCTAACATACAAATATGTTAGGTTGCACGGCAGTGTGAAATTAGATTTCAAGTGAAATTAAGGTTGCGGAAAAATGATAGAGAGATTGTCTTAAATGGGTGGGATCAATGAAATCACAAACTTCCTTATAAGTGAAAGAAGAAGACAGAAGAAAGGCAACCTTGTAGGTGGTGGCATGAGAAATTACTCAACATCACTGACTTTTAAGATACAAGAATGAGGACCCAGCGCAGTGGCTCACGCCTAATCCCAGCACTTTGGGAGGCTGGGGTGGGTGGATCACGAGGTCAGGAGATCGAGACCATCCTGGGTAACATGGTGAAACCCCATCCCTACTAAAAATACAAAAAATTAACTGGGCATGGTGGCAAGTGCCTGTAGTCCAAGCTACTCAGGAAGCTGAGGCAGAAGAATCACTTGAACCCGGGAGGCAGAGGTTGCAGTGAGCTGAGATCATGCCACTGCACTCCAGCCTGGGTGAAAGAAGGAGACTCCATCTCAAAAAAAAAAAAAAAAAAAAAAGAAAAGAAAAATAGGATATAAGAATGAGGTCATGTTCCAAGGAATAAAGGTGGCCTCTGGATGCTGGAAAAAATCAAGTAATAGATTCTGCCACATAGCCCTCAGAAAGACTGCAGCCCTGCCCAAAACTTGATGTTAACCCTGTGAGTTTCATTCAAGTCTTCTGAACTACAGAACTGTAGGATTAACGGTCACTTTATTGTAAGATATGAAGTTTGTGGTAATTGGTTACAGCAGCAAGAGGAAGTTTATATTGTAATTGTATCATGAAAATGAGAACCATAATTTACAACTGCTTTTAATACTGCACCTGGATGTTTGAAATCACGTACATGGAAATGATCTCTATGTGCATGAGGGAGGATAGCAAATTGATGCCAAAATAATGCAAATGCAAATCTTACACTCATTTCTATGTAGGTTTCATTTAATCTTTGAAATTAAAATGAAATTAAAAGATTGTGATATTTTGATGAAGTTAGACTAAAATGAACAATAACAAAATAAGAACTCACTTATATTCTTTATATGGTCAATAAAGAAGTGATAGTGGAAAAAAACAAGATCAAATGAAGGTGATGATTTAGGAAGTTGGAAAGATAGCTGAAACTACAAAATGGTATATAACCAGTGAACACTTAGACACACTGATTGATGAACTTCAGCTTTTGGCTTGGTGAGAGCATAAAATGAGAGCAGCTGAGGTTTGCAAATTTGTAATCTCCTTGTGGAAAAACAGGGGAAAACACATCTCAGCCTAATAAGATTTATCTACTAAAGAGTCTAGACTTGATCCATTTGTCCTTGTAATTCAAAAGCTAATTCAAATACTGATTTGATGTATTGTGTGAACAACCATTGCTGATTATCATTGCATACCTGGCATTCTCTTTTATCTGATATCTAAAATATTTGGTAATTCCTGGACTTTCTCTTTTCAAACCCAGTACGGTTTAATTGGAGTCTTAGAACAGTTGTCTTTGAGAAATTCTTCCCTCTACTGCATCTGTGAATGGGCATAGCATGGTTACATACATACTGTCACTCCATAGAACATTTGTTAAATTAAAGCCAAAGTTTAAAGCAAGAGCTTTAACTTACTGGTTTTACTAATGTTTTCCTCCCCAATAGCCACCACAATATTGATACACTCACACCTTTTAACATAAAGCTTGGTGTTGTCTATTTTTCAGGTGCTGTCATCTATATGATCTCAGTATTTTAAAAATCAGCTTCCAGCCCATATGGTGGCTCATGCTTGTAATACCAGCAGTTGAAGAGGCTGAAATGAGAGGATTCCTTGAGCCCAGGAGTTCAAAAGCAACCTGGGCAACATAGAAAGACCCAGTCTCTATCAAAAGTTTAAAAAAAAAAAAAAAGTGGGCATGGTGATGTGCACCTGTTGTCCTAGCTATTTGGGAGGCCAAGGTGGAAGGATTGCTTGAGCTTGGGAGGCTGAGGCTGCAGTGAGCAGTGATTGCACCACTGCACTCCAGCCTGGGCAACAAAGCAAGACCCTATCTCAAAAAATATATATAATAAAAATAAAAATCAGCTCTCATTGATTTCTATGTAAATATGCACAGGTGATGTCCATATAGACATAAATAATAATATTTCTGACAATGGGTCCATATGATCTTCAAAATGTAAAATGCCTATCTGTGTAATTGACTGGTTAGTCTCATTAATGAATATAGATTCAATTCTACTTTCTTGTTCTAGATAAATTATATAATCTAGCTTTTCATTTCACTTATTTACTGATAACAACAGGAAGAATGACAAGATATCTATTTTGGAAAATTACTCTGGTAGGAGTAAAGATGAAACAGTGATAGAATTGCACGGAAAACTAGAAAAAAGTATGGTCTTCTGATATTCTATCACTTCACATACTAAAGGCCTCATAAAACTCAGATATTTTATCTAAAAATGTTATTTTCATCATAGGAATGATCAAAGCATGAGACTACAATTGTATTAAAATGTGCTTGTATCACAAGCACAGGTGCTAAAAAGGAGGGGAAAACATCCTTACTGATATTTTCAACGTATGTTTTACTTTTCATCAACATGAACCTCAACTTGATATGATGCAGATTGAAGGAAATCACCCATAATTCCATATGAAGAAGGCCTGTGATATTTTATGGGAAAATAAATAGAGAAAATGCTAACAGAAACCCTATTAAGCACGAAGCTTTATGGAGCAAACACAAATCCAGTGGTGAAAGATACACACTCGAGTTCTGTTTGTTGTCTTGGAACAATACGGTTTAGAGGTGACTGGCGGGTGAGGAGAACATATGCGAGTTCACCAAAGAGAAAAGGTGAATGAGGCAATGCCTCTTCCTGACCATATCTCTTACTCAGATAACTATATAATTTATTGTCCAGTAAAGGGTATATTAAAAAATCATATTAAAAGTCATGCAGTGAAGTTGTCCAGGGAAATCAAGACTTAACAGTCTCACTCTGACAATAATGAACAGGGGGATTCCCTCAAGATAGACTAGGACATGACCCCACACTGGCAGGTAGTAGTACCAGAAAAGAACCCATGGAAAATCTTTACCTTATGCTTGAGGTAGGGACCAGGCTAAAGTGAAAGCCAGACCTACAATTCTATCTAAAATAAATCCACAATCGAAGAAAATATGTGGTGTACAGGCATAGAATGTCTTTACTGGATCATTGAAATAGTAAGATAAATTCAACTTTTACATTGTTTTCTTTTCCTCCAGTTAGGGCTTGAGGTTTGTCTCTGGAGAGTGACCATCAATTGGAGCCCTGCCTTTCTGGGGTTCTGGTCAGGGGGTTGTGGATGCTTAACATGTCCCTTTCACAGGACACTTCCTTACTCCAGCAGTGGCCAGGTGTGCATCCCACGACCAGGCCTCCCTCTCACAGAACATCTGTTGAGACTAGGAGATGCCTGGTGACTGTTGCCTGACCTGTGCCCTGTGTATTTCTGACAAGAGCCACTCTCAGAGACCCTGGCCAGGAGGAGAGTTAGGTTCCAGTGTAGGTCAGCTCAGACACATGGAGGCCACAGAACCAAACATGGGAAATCACAGAAGTAGGTTTATTACTCACAGATCCAGAGAGAAGAGGGTAGCTGAAGAGAGGGTTTAGCTGTGTCCCCAGCCAAATCTCATCTTGAATTCCCACATGTTGTGGGAGGGAACAGGTGGGAGGTAATTGAATCATGGGGGCAGGTATTTCCCATGCTGTTCTTCTGATAGTGAATAAGTCTCACAAGATCTGATGGTTTTATAAAGAGGAGTTTCCCTGCACAAGCTCTCTTGTCTTGTCTGCTGCCATGTGAGACGTGCCTTTCACCTTGCGCCATGATTGTGAGGCCTACCCAGCCATGTGGAACTGTGCATGTATTAAACCTCTTTCTTCTAGAAATTACCCAGTCTTGGGCATGTCTTTACCGGTGGTGTGAAAATGGACTAATACAGTAGCACACCTCATAGGGCTGAACAAAATGGGGAAGATGAGTGGGGAACAGGAGAGAGAAAAGGGGTCTGTGGGACTCTAGCTTTTATTGGGCCCAGAACATTACCCAAATAAGTTTTCCACGGGGCACTAGTCGGTGGGGAGAGTGCCAGCAGGCACATTTCTTGACTCCCGCTGCAACCGAGCAGGTCACTCTGGCGTGTGGGGGCTGTCCATGTGCGCTGTGAGGTCTGTGGGGTGAGTCAGGTAGGTTGTATCCAACGGTTCCATAGCTGGTAGTCACCAGGAGGGAGGCAACTGTGTAGGGTCAATATCTGGGCCAGCCACACTGAGGAACTGTGAGGGTTAGAACTGGAAATTGTCAAGGGAATCTGAACCCAGCTACCATATGAGAGAGTTCAACTTATGTTCAATGTGAATGCCATGGCAATATTAAAAGGTAAGAATTCGCTCCATACGTGCTTGAGGTAAATAGGAGAAACCTAGAATTTATGTAAACAGTGAGAAGATTGGATGCCTTTTCCGTCACATATTTTAATACTAGCAGCATATTATATATGTCAATCCATCAGGAATTCAGAAATACATGCTTATGAAAATTTTTTGCACCATCAGACAAAAGACAAGGGTAGAAGACATTTGTAACCCTATAAACACTAGTAAATTAAAAACAGAAGGACCTTTATGTCCTAACATATCTGCGTTGTGAAAGGCTGCCCTGTAAAATATGGGATTTCTTAAACATATTTTAAAAATCATAGGTGTCAATATTTTTTAGAAACCCATTTAAATTTTCTCTTGCTATTTTACAATGCCTATTTATTTATTTAGTGGCTCTGCTGATTTTGATGTATATCCTAAACTTTATATTTTCTTTAAAGGATGTTTTATACAACTTTATGTAAAATGTTTCAGTATCTTCACATTCTCTCCCTGTCCTTTTGTTTTGTTCCTATATGGTGGTCTTGAGTCTTTTCTGTGGCTTTTCAAACCTAGTAAGACTAAGACACTAAAGTAACTTTGCCCGTGGTTTGGTAATGCCTTCTAAAGCACATCCTAATCTCTCGTGCATACAGGGGTCTCCTTTGAGCTCTGCGCTTTTGAGATCCCATATACCTAAATTCCAGTACTCCAAATCAGTACTGCTCAGTTTTAGTTACTAAGTTTAAAAATGTATTTTAATAGCAAGTTAGTTTAGCGCACTCTTGCTTCTTTCTTGACTGCTTGTATACATGTATATTCCTTTAAATGAATCTTGGAAATTATTTAAAAATTTTAAATTATACTAATGAAACTGTATATTGTGAATTCATAAGTGAATTTGGAAAGAATTTGTCTTTATGGTACTAAATCCTTTTTATCCACGAATCATATGTGTCTTTATATTTATTCGTCTATATTTATATTACTGAGTGTATATATAGAAATGTAGATACATACAGCTGTAGTTATAGATACAAATATAGATATAACATGTTAAATCTATATCTATCCCATATAACATATATACATGTTATATGTGTGTGTCTATATATATATATATATATGTTTATGTTATTAAAGAGCTCCCTTAAAATTTTTCTTTTATTTCCTATATAATTTTAGGTCGAGCTTGAATTTTCCTTGTATAAACAAGCAAATATTTATACTAGTTTTAATACTGATGTTTAGACATTGTATCTTATTTTAGCATTGAATATTTTCACAATTATTATAAATATTATCTAATATTAATAATGTACCTGTTAAAAATATTTAAAATTTTACCTTTGATTTATTTTATTGTTGAATTAAAATTCCTTTAATATGATAGTAAATTTCTATTTTATGCTTTCTCTTTGCATATGCAAATTAATCTATCCACTTCTCTATCTCTATGTAGTAACATATGAAAATCAGGCCTCTATTCTTCTAATGGACATACACATGTTTGCATATAGAATATCAGACTCTTTATAGCATTTAAAATCTTTAAAGACATGAATATTGCCTTTTAACAAATATATTTTAGCATGTACTGAGAATCCCCTATTTATTTTTAATTTGGGCTAATCAACATGATTGTTAATATTAGTGGATTACCAAATTTGGAAACACACTTTCATCCCCAAGGTGGATATTTGTTTTATTTTGTTTGCCAATTTCGTGTCTTACTGTTTCAAATATTGTTGGATGTTATTTTTATTTTATTTGGCATTTTAGTATCAACATTTGTAATTGATGTACTCTATATATTTTTTCTTCAATATCTGGTGAGTTTTATAATTACTGCTATATTGGATTTGTAGTAGACATTGACAAAAATTATTCCTGTATGTTTTATAGCTGTATGAGGGAAACTAATATATTTTACCCCTAAATATATTTCCTTGATATATTTCAAAATGGCTATTGAGAAGGGCTGGAAATGCAAACTTAGCTGCAAAGCTGTCTTGGGGAGCTTTGCATCGGTAGAGAATCTGCCTTGATGCAGCCAGGCTTTCTCTGAGGTCTGCCCCCTTGTCTGGATCTAGGAAAGGTTAACTGAGAGTCTGAGGTCTCCAAAGGTCTGAAAGAAACATTTTTTCTCTATTCTCTCTGAGGACTGCTCCCAGTGAGGTTCCACCTGTGTAATAAGCCCACTGTTGCTAGCCAGGGTCGTTTTCTCACATAACCTTTTTTTTTTTTCCCTGTGATCCAAGACCCCATTCTTTCTGTAAACTTCATGTGGTAGATAAGCTTCTGCACGCATCGTGTGTCTGGGTCTACGTTCTAAGGGCTCCAGTGTACACACATTGCAGAAACCTGTATGCCTTTTCTACTATTTATCTGCCTCCTATTAGTGATTTTCAGGGAAACTTCAGAAGGCAAAAGGGACATTCTCCTTTAGCCCATTCTCAGACAAAATCCCCCAACATTTAACTGATTCCTAATAGCTTAAAATCACTTTGAAAAATCCATATATTTATAACCTTTTCTTCCCTCTATGATTTCTGGTCAGCTTGGGTTTTGTTTTTCATTCCATTTACTTCATCCTCGAAAAGATCTATTTTACATCTATTTATTCTCATTTATGGACATTGAGAAAAGAAAATAACTTTCATGTGAGAAATGCAAGTCCTTTTAAATAATCAGGCCCAGAGAGATATTCAAATGAGACGGCAGTTCTGTCCTGCTCCTCTTTGAGCTGTGTGTTCATCTAGGCTGCTTGCTGTTGCCACAGTAGCTATAAATTAACCAATAACGCCACTCCAGACACTATAATCCACACCCAATATTAGTGTAACAGTGTATAGCCAGTCACTAATAAATGTTATTTCCATAAGCCAATGAGAATTTGTGACAAACCTCTTTGGATCATCCCACTTCTGGACCCTTTTTTGCCTTTAAGAAACTGCTTGTTGCAAAGCTCCAAAGGGAGTTCATATCCAAGGATACTTGGGTCTGTTTCTTCCAGGCATCTGTCCTCATTGTGGATCAAGTAAACTCTTTGAATTACGTTTTGTGCTTCAGCCCCTTCCACTTAGATCAACAACATGGATTTGTGTCACCATGTACGGCAATTAAAATGTTCACACTTTTCCCCTCGAGGGCACTGATGTGTTTTCCTGAGCACTTGGAATAGCTACGTAGTGTTTACTGTCTAGATTATGGTATCTCACCCTTGGTGCTACTTACCTTTAGGACCAGAGGATTCTTTGTTGTGGGAGGCTGCCCTAGCAATGCTAGGTGTTTCATTTGACCTCTACATTTCACACCTCCACCAGTCTTGACATCCCCACAATAACCCTAGACATTGACAAATGTCTCCTGGGGAAAACTCTCCACCAGTTGACAGGCAAAGTTCTGGAAATATTGGAATTGTCAATTGAGATTTTATGTTATCCAAAACAAATATTTTTCTTTGTTTTTAAACATCTACTTCCATCTACTTATCTACTAATTTTTACTTTTATTGGTAACTTAATTCCATCAAGGAGAGAGAGTGCATTTTCTGTTATGCTAAATTTTTGAAGAATGTATTGATTTTTTACGACCTGATATATGGATGATGTGTAGATATTACATTTTTGTATTATCAAATTTCAGGGTGATAATAAAATAAATACTTATAATATTTATATTGTCACTGTATATTAGTTATTTTCTTTCTTCACTACAGGAGTTTTTCAACCTATAGGCTATTTTTCAATTCTAGGTTATCCAGTAGATTTTGAAATGTTATGATTAAATATCTACTTCTCAAGCATTCATCTTTGCAAATAAAACAATCCCAAGCTCTTATAATGCACATCATATAAAGGGCAGATTACTCAACATATGGTTCAGAAATAATTATGTAATATTTATAATAAAATTAAAAATTTAGATCCTTAACTCAGATAACAATAATCCAAATTAAAATTTGATTTCACTACATAATTTAAAGTGACACCAGAATACTAGTAAAAATGTAGATTAGTTTATATCATCTTTTTTAGCTGTAAGACTTTATTAGCATAAATTCAAATACAGGAACCAAAGTAAGATTGAGACCTATAGTCAAAGGTTAAAATGTACACATTATAGGGGCATGATTAAACTAATTTAAAGCATAATAACATGGAGAAATATTGCAAAACATACATTTTACTGAATGAATTGTTAATATCTAATCATTATGTGAGAACAAAATTAAAGAGTAGCTACACAGGCACACACCCACACACAAGTGCAATATTGTCAAATAAACGATGTTCAGCTACACTAGAAATCACACATGTGTTTTCTCCACAGCAAAGATTAAAAATCACAATAATATTTATTGTACATATGGAGGTAAAGATACTCAAAATATTACCCTAAAATACATTTTTTTTTGAGATGGAGTTTTGCTTTTATTGCCCAGGCTAGAGTGCAATGGCACAATCTTGGCTCACTGCAACCTCAGCCTCCCAGGGTCAAGTAATTCTCCTAGCTCAGCCTCCCAAGTAGCTGAGATTACAGGCATGCACCACCACACTCGGCTAATTTTTTGTATTTAGTAGAGACGGGGTTTCACCATGTTGGTCAGGCTGGTCTCCAACTCCTGGCTTCAGGTGATCTAACCACTTCAACCTCCCAAAGTGCTGGGATTACAGGCGTGCGCCTGGGCAGCTTTTTGACATATTTCAAGATGGCTACTCGGAAGACTGGAGATAGCATCTTCTACAAGAATAGCTGAAAAGCTGTGTTTGTTGGGGAGTTTGCATTTCTAGAGAAAATCTGCATTGATATAGACAGGCTTTCCCTGAGATACTCCCTTGTCTGGGTTTAGGAAAGATTAACTGAGCCTGGCACGTTTACATTTCTAAAAACCATTTCCTATCTATACTTCCCAAGAGGAGGGCTGCTCCCTTTGAGGTTTCATCCATGTAACAAGACCACCTCTGCTGCCAGGCTCCTCTTTCTTCCTTGTCGTCACTTGTCTTCCGCAAAGCCTGATTTACCAACCTACAGCTCTGTGTTTTCTGTAACCTCAAGACAGCATAGGCGTGTTGACTACCTTGCCTTTCCTGGAGTTTTTATATATATAGTATATATTCGTATATCTATTTATAGTATACAAATATTTGTATAGATATATTTATATATAATGTAAACTCCAAGTGCATACTTGTGCACATATCTGTAAACTTTTTTCCTGTTAATTTGTACATTATCAGTTTGTTTTATAGACTCAAATAATTAAAGCTTCAAGGGAAAAATTTAAACTTTCCTATAGAGAAAAGACAAATATATAGGTGACAAATAATATTTAGAGTGTAAGATGATTTTTAAAGGTATATTTGCAATTTGTGTCAAAAAATTTAAATATACATTTGTTATTTTAACTATAAAACTTCAAATAATTTAAGCCAAATACATAGTATATGCAGAAAATTTAGCAATGTATCTATGTAGCACCTTGTTGTGCATTACTGTAACCAGCCATCTAATATAAAGAAGTAATTAAGGTAGCACCTACTTTTCAAATAGCGCATTTTTTCACAGACCTATTAAATAAGACAAGTAACATTTAAACTTTATTTTTAAATTTGCAGAATAGTAGTTTTCAGCAGATGGTTTATTTTAGCAAATTCAATCTTCACATTGTGCTATGCTTTTATGAGTTCCAGCTGTTAATGGATAATATTTTACTGTTGAAACTATCATGTGTGATATAATTGCTCATTATGTGCCTTAAAACACAAGCAATATAATTATTTTCAACTTGGAGCAAATTAAAATCTTATCAGCAATTTAAAAACTGTAGAGTCGTCTTCTTCTGGTTAATTATTTTAAACTTGTATTTTTCTCTTTATGTTTTTAGTGAGTTATCTTATCAAGGAGAAGAACTCAAGCTGATTATTCTTTTTTTCTCTTCCATCCACCTCGCAGGTGTGTTAATAATTTCATTTCTCAGAAAATGTTCTTTCATATCCATCTTACAAGATGAGAGACCTTTTAACATCTTCCATTCGGATGTGATAGCAGTAATGGAAAATATTTCAGCCTCATGAATATGGTGATACAAATAGTTATCCGTCTAACCTCTTTCAGTGCCAAATGTTTACTTTACTCAGTGAATTACTCAGTTGACTGGTAATTTCTTCTGAAATCACTAATGAGAGGATTAGAGGTCTGGCTGTTGTCTGTACCTCATATGACTCCCAGTGCAGACAATTGTTTCTATGGAGCACAGACAGTTGAAAGGATTGACCTCCTGCCTAGAATAGTTTCTCCTGTGCTTCTTATCCTTCTTGTGGAGATTTCAGATTATCTGAATTGCTTTTCTATCTTAAGAAAAAACGCAACAATTCTCCCACCTGAGAGGAATGTAAACTGTAGTAAGTTAGCTGAACCAATCCGTAAAATTTTTACATTGTTTGTTGCAAAATGCAGCGCTGGTGTCTCCATCACTAACCTTTTCTATCCCTCATTGCTCTTTGACTGCACTAGGATACCTCTAGGCAAATCTGTATTCCCGAGACAGAGTGCCCTTTTGGTGAGCTATAAGCACACTCAATGGTAGGCTGAAATACTAGCTTTTATCTATGGTGAAATGGAATCATAACAGTGATTTTTTAAAAAAGGAAATTTAACTCTTGCTATGGTTTGAATGATTGCCCCTTCCAATCTCATGTTAAAATTTGATCCCCAATGTTGCAGGTGGGGCTTACTGGGAGGTGTTTGGTCATGGGGTTGGACCTTCATGAATGGATAATACCCTCCCTTAGAAATCTAAAGCTATCCTCCCTCCTCGGTGCCCTCAGGAATGAGTGTACCATTCTTTATTCACCTGTAATTCCTTTACCCATCCTTTTTGAGATATTAATTACATGTATGTTACACTGCTGCATATTGTCTGACGTATCAGTGAGTTTCTGGCTTTCTTATTTTAGTTTACCCTTTGTCCTTTAGTTTGTAAAGCTTCTATTTTGTTCTATAAATTTTCTGATGTTAGGGTAAAATCCATTACTTATTCAATCTCATGGAATTTTTATTTAAAATATTTATTTTTCATCTATACATGCCCCATTTTTCATTTTATAACTTCTATTTTTCTCCTATGTTCAATTTTCATTTAAGTACCTTGACATATATATGTATTTATCTATATGTATTTATAAAATATATTTACTTTAAGGACCTTGAAATTTCCTTCTTTTCTGTCATTTATAAATGACTTATTTTTATCCTGTTAATATATATCTTAATTGTATATATCTTACGGCTTCTTTGCATGTCAGAGTTTTTTTTTTGGGTATTTTGATGTTATGCTATTGAATATCTAGATTTTATTGGCTACTTTTGAACAATGTTGTGGCAGGCAGTTCAGTAACTTCAGGATGAGTATTTGTCTGTTGTTGTTTTAAATCTTCTCTTTAAACTTTGTGGAGTTAGTCTAGAGCCATCTGTAATTTGGAGCTAAATGAGCACTGTCACTAGGGCATGAACCTCCAGTGGTCTTTACTGAATATCCTGGAGGTACAGAGGGGATTCCCTTCTCTGGCTTGTCAGAGCTAACGTGTCTTCCTGTCATGTGATGCCAGGGAAGTGTTCTTCTTCCAACTCCCTGGTAGAGTCCTTTGCTGAGCTCCTTAGAATTTCATCCTATGTACATTTGGCTTAGGGACTTGGGAGAATCCTTAGGCTGATTCCTGATTCCTTTTTCTGTAAACGTTCTCTTCTACTACACATTCCAGCTACTTAACCTTTTTTGATTTTTATCTGGTTCCTCAGTGCAATGAGAATGTCTGCTCTCTCTAGGATTCCTCTCTACTGCTGTCACGGAAAATCTGAGAATAAAGCAGGACTCATTCTGGCTCCTTCTCTTCTCTTGCAGAGCAGAGTCCTGTGCTGCCTGATGTTCAGTACTTCAAAAAAATGTTTCATATATTTTGTCCAGTTTACTATTCTTTAACTCTAAAAGAGTAACTCCAGTCCCAGTTACAGCATCATGTTGTGTAACTCTACTCCTTGTTGCTTCATTCTGCCATTGTCTGGTATGATCGCCCCTTTCCCTTCTGTAATCAGGCCAAGAGCATAATATAATACTATTTATAACTGCACAGCTTGCCTCCGTTGTGTAAAAAAATCACTGAGACTTAACTGTGTCCAACTTTTAAAATGTGAATATAAGTACAACTAAAGCTATATTTTGGTTAATATTTGCATTGCATGCTTTTCCATTATTTACTTTCAACATATGTGAAATATGAATATAAATTATAAAAACTTAGAGTCCATTTTAAAAATCTGGTCTGGTTATATTTTACCTGGTTTAATACAACGTGCATTATTGAATTCAGGGTCTAATATAATTGGTACATTTGTCTATTTGCAAAAAAAAAAAAAAAACTTGACAATATTTTAAAATTAATTTATCCAACTCACAACTTATATGCTTCTGCCGTTGTATGGAAGATACATTTTAAACTTAATGAGATAGCATTCTGTTATACAGTCGATATCCAATTAAATTTCTCTCTATGTTTATTTCTTTCATTAAAAAAATTGTTCTTCTAAATGCAAACTTTCATCAGGGATCATGGCTCTTCTACCTGAAGAATAATCTTTAGTATTTCTTTTCCTGTGGGTCTGCTTGGGAGAAATTCTTTATTGTATCTTTGCTTTTGATGGATATGTCCACCAAGTAGACAGTTCTAGGTCAGCACTTATTTTATTTCAGGACTTGAAAGATATCAGTACCTCACTTGTTGGCTTTCGTTGATTCATTTGAGGAAGTTGTTATCAGTCAACTCTTTCTCTTTGTAGTTAGCCCAATTTTTTTATCAAGTGCTCTTTACATTTTTCTTTTACTTTTCAGAAATTGTCCCATTATGTTTCTAGATGTGTCCTCTGTGTGTGTTTTCCTTTGCTTTGAAAAGTCTCCTGAACCTGAGGTTTAATATTATTGGTCAATTTTGATAAAACCTCTAACATTGCCACTTAAAATGCTGTTCAGACAAGCTGTTTTCTCCTTCTTAGATTTCAACGTGTTAGATTATTACTCTATTCCTCATATTTTTTAAATGACCTTTCTCTACTATTTTTTTAAGTTGGTTAATCTGTATTAGTGTATATTTTGTTTTTTTATTTTATTTTATTTTATTATTATACCTTAAGTTATAGGATACATGTGCACAATGTGCAGGTTTGTAACATAAGTGTTCATGTGCCATGTTGGTGTGCTGCACCCATTAACTCGTCATTTAGCATTAGGCATATCTCCTAATGCTATCCCTCCCCACTCCCCCCACCCCACAACAGTCCCCGAAGTGTGATGTTCCCCTTCCTGTGTCCATGTGTTCTCATTGTTCAATACCCACCTATGAATGAGAACATGTGGTGTTTGGTTTTTTGTCCTTGCGAGAGTTTACTGAGAATGATGATTTCCAGTTTCATCCATGTCCCTACGTAGGACATGAACTCATCATTTTTTATGGCTGCATAGTACTCCATGGTGTATATGTGCCACATTTTCTTAATCCAGTCTATCGTTGTTGGACATTTGGGATGGTTCCAAGTCTTTGCTATTCTGAATACTGCCGTAGTAAACATACGTGTGCATGTGTCTTTATTGAAGCATGATTTATAGTCCTTTCTGTATATACCCAGTAAGGGAATGGCTGGGTGACATGGTATTTCTAGTTCTAGATACTTGAGGAATCACCACACTGACTTCCACAATGTTTGAACTAGTTTACAGTCCCACCAACAGTGTAAAAGTGTTCCTATTTCTCCACATCCTATCCAGCACCTGCCGTTTCCTGACTTTTTAATGATCGCCATTCTAACTGGTGTGAGTTGGTATCTCATTGTGGTTTTGATTTGCATTTCTCTGATGGCCAGTGATGATGAGCATTTTTTCATGTGTTTTTTTGGCTGCACAAATGTCTTCTTTTGAGAAGTGTCTATTCGTGTCCTTCACCCACTTTTTGATGGGGTTGTTTTTTACTTGTAAATGTGTTTGAGTTCATTGTAGATTCTGGTTATTAGCCCTTTGTCAGATGAGTAGGTTGCAAAAATTTTCTCCCATTTTGTAGGTTGCCTGTTCACTCTGATGGTAGTTTCTTTTGCTGTGCAGAAGCTCTTTAGTTTAATTAGATCCCATTTGTCAATTTTGGCTTTTGCTCCCATTGCTTTTGGTGTTTTAGACATGAAGTCCTTGCTCATGCCTATGTCCTGAACGGTATTGCCTAGGTTTTCTTCTAGGGTTTTTATGGTTTTAGGTCTAACATGTAAGTCTTTGATCCAACTTGAATTAATTTTTGTATAAGGTGTAAGGAAGGGATCCAGTTTCAGCTTTCTACAGATGGCTAGCCAGTTTTCCCAGCACCATTTATTAAATAGGGAATCCTTTCCCCATTTCTTGTTTTTCTCAGGTTTGTCAAAGATCAGACAGTTGTAGTTAAGCGGCATTATTTCTGAGGGCTCCGTCCTGTTCCATTGATCTATGTCTGTGTTTTTGTACCAGTAACATGCTGTTTTGGTTACTGTAGCCTTGTAGTATAGTTTGAAGTCAGGTAGCGTGATGCCTCCAGCTTTGTTCCTTTGGCTTAGGATTGACTTGGCGATGCGGGTTCTTTTTTGTTTCCGTATGTACTTTAAAGTCGTTTTTTCCAATTCTGTGAAGAAAGTCTTTGGTAGCTTGATGGGGATGGCATTGAATCTATAAATTACCTTGGGCAGTATGGCCATTTTCACGATATTGATTCTTCCAACCCATGAGCATGGAATGTTCTTCCATTTGTTTGTATCCTCTTTTATTTCATTGAACAGTGGTTTGTAGTTCTCCTTGGAGATGTCCGTCATGTCCCTTGTAAGTTGGGTTCCTAGGTATTTTATTCTCTTTGAAGCAATTGTGAATGGGAGTTCACTCATGATTGGGCACTCTGTTTTTCTGTTATTGGTGTACAAGAATGTTTGTGATTTTTGTACATTGATTTTGTATCCTGAGACTTTGCTGAAGTTGCTTATCAGCTTAAGGAGATTTTGCACTGAGACAATGGGGTTTTCTTTATATACAATCATGTCATCTGCAAAAGGGGACAAATTGACTTCCTCTTTTCCTAACTGAATACCCTTTGTTTCCTTCTCCTGCCTGATTGCCCTGGCCAGAACTTCCAACACTCTATTGAGTATGAGTGGTGACAGAGGACATCCCTGTCATGTGCCAGTTTTCAAAAGGAATGCTTCCAGTTTTTGCCCATTCAGTATGATATTGGCTGTGGGTTTGTCATAGATAGCTCTTATTATTTTGAGATACGTCCCATCAATACCTAATTTATTGAGAATTTTTAGCATGAAGGGCTGTTGAACAGCCTTGAACTCCTGGGCTCAAGTGATCCTCCAGCAGACCCTCCCCAGTAGCTGAGACTAAAGGCACAACTACACCCAGCAAATTTTAATTTTTTTTGTTGTGTTTTGCTATATTTCTTTTTTTTTTTGAGACGGAGTCTCACTCTATCGCCCAGGCTGGAGTGCAGTGGCATGATATTGGCTCACTGCAAGCTCCGCTTCCCAGGTTCACGCCATTCTCCTGCCTCAGCCTCCCAAGTAGCTGGGAATGCAGGCACCCGCCACCACACCTGGCTAATTTTTTTGTATTTTTAGTAGAGACAGGTTTCACTGTGTTAGCCAGGATGGTTTCAATCTCCTGACCCCGTATCCACATGCCTCGGCCTCTCAAAGTGCTGGGATTACAGGCGTGAGCCACCATGCCCGGCTGGGTTTTGCTATATTTCTTTTCACTATGCTTTGAATTTTTTGTTTTCTTGTTCCCCACCCCCACCCCCACTATATTTATGCAGATTCTCAATATTTTTTTTGTAGACTCACTATGTTGCCCAGGCTTGTCTTGGACCTCCTGGCCTCAACTTCTACCTCAGCCTCCCAAAGTGTTGGGATTACAGGCATGAGACACCAAGCTTGGCCTCAGAGGGCCTTTTCTCTCTTTTTTTTTTTTGAGATGGAGTCTCACTCTGTGGAGTGCAGTGGTGCAATCTCGGCTCACTGCAACCTCAGCCCCCCAGGTTCTAGCGATTCTCCTGCCACAGCCTCCCAAGTAGCTGGGATTACAGGCACAACCCACCATGCCTGACTAATTTTGCATTTTTAGTAGAGACAGGGTTTCACCATGTTGGCCAGGCTGGTCTTGAACTCCTGACCTCAGGTGATCCACCCACCTCGGCCTCCCAAAGTGCTGGGATTACAGACGTGAGCCACCGCACCTGGCTCAGAGGGCCTTTTCTAACTGGAGAATTCCTGCCGGTGTCCCTGCTGCTTGGCCTCTTCTCCTCACGATGAATGGATAGAGGGAGGGAGGGAGGCTCTTAATTCTCCTGGAGTCAGCTCCAGACAGACAGGGTATTGGCATGCCAATTTCCAGCCTCAGTGGTAAAGGTTGACACGCTAATCACCCTCCTCCATGAAACAGTGACAAAAATTACCTGAAGAAAGCCACAGCCAAGCTCCAGGCCCCTGCTCCACAAATCCCCTTCCCCATGCCTCTCTCAAAGCAACCCTCATCCCTTGTAACCCTCTTGGTGAATCAAAGCCCCCTCTACTGGGCCTTAGCCCAGCTGTTCCTCTGCTAGGAATCCCTTCCTCTCTCTGCCTAACGAAGTTATCTGCAGCCCAGCCACCACCTCCTCCAAGAAGTCCTCCTGGATCTTCAGGCTGTATTCTAGCGCTTCCCTAGCCCTGGCTCTTGCCTACACCTGCATTTACCCCAACAGGGACTTGCTCTCCTGGACTGTGTGGCCTCTCTTGGTTTTGATATAAGCAGGAGCTGTGGACCCACATGGCCAGTCACTGACCCTCCTCCACCAGGAACTTCCTGCAGGCTCAGGCAAGACAGGAGGACCCCATGGCTCTGGGCTACAGCTCAGGGTTTCCACTGCAGAGTTCCTCACCCAGGCCCTTGAGGTTACCCACTCACCAGCCGCCTGGATGTCCTTCACAATCTGGGCCATGAGGCTGCCGTTGTAGAAGGCCTGGGCACCCTCAATGGCCAGCGTCTCATAGGTGTCAGCCAGCCGCAGCAGGATCAGTCTCTCCCCCTCCCAAAGCACCTTTCTATCCCGGCAGAACACCTCACTGGGGCAGAGGGGGCTCATGTGAGGCAGCAGGTGGGGTGGACTTAGCTAGACCAACCCCCACACCTGCCCACACAGGAGACCAGCACAAAGCAGGGGCAGCGCCTGTCACGGGTGGGTGGCCCTGTCACTCAGCGCTCGTCCTCCTAGTGTCCCTTCCGGGAACCTCCTAGTGTCCCTTGCCACTCAGGACACATGGCCAGCCACAGTGGCCACTGGGACCCCATGCTCAGAATGTGTCCCCACATGTGGTGGGAAGGGTCTGTATCTCCTCATCCCATTATCAGCGCAGGGTCCTGAAGGCAGAGGGCCGCTCCACTGCTGCTACGGCCTGCAAGGTCCTTGGGCTGTGCCTGCCCTGCCTGTGTCAGGGGGCTGCACCCACAGACATACCACAAGACAGGCTGCTGCTCGATGACGGTCCGCTTGTTTTCCAGGGCTGCTGCCAAGCCCTTGCCCACGGGGAAGCCCTGGCGGGCCAGCTGGATGCTGGGCTGGAAGAGGCGAGCCCAGGGCAGCCGCCCATGCTGCTGGTGTGCCAGCTCATAGCCTCGGATCTCCCCAGGCACTGCCACCGACAGCCCTCCTGGGGAGAGAGAGCCACAGTTAGTGACCCTGAGTAGGGGACATCGGGATCTCTCGCAGGCAGCATCCCAGGCACAGTCCCTGACTCGTTTTACAGATGGGGCAATGAGGCTTAGGAGGAAAGATTTTTTTTTTCTTTTTTGAGTTGGCGTCTTGCCATCTTGCCCAGCCTGATCTCGAACTCCTGGATTCAAGCAATCCTCCCACCTCAGCCTCCTGAGTAGCTGAGATTACAGGCGTGAACAGCACACCCAGCAGAAGAGGATTTTTAATTTTTTTATTTATTTTTTAATTTTAATTTTTTTTTTAGGAGGGGATGTTTAATTTTTTTTTAAGAGGGGCTCAGCAGGTAGGAGTGTACATGGACCAGGGATGTCTGAGGAGGGCACAGGAGGGGAAGCAGTAGCATGTGGCTGGGTTTTGCTGTCCCAGGATGAGGTATCTGTCTGTGCAGGTGCCTACATGTCTAAAATCCTGTGCCAGGCCAGACCCCCTCCCATCTCACTGACCACAAGGCCTTATCCTGTAAGACTCATGGGCTCCACCAGAATGTGCCAAAACAAGAGCAGATCCCACCCTGACCCAGGTCAAGCACAGGCCACCTTCAAGACACAGCCAGCCCCAAGAAAGGGCTCCCTTCCTCTTTTCTACTGCCCCAGAGAGGCAAGACTGAGCCTTAACCTCCATCCTGTCCCCTCTCCCAGCCTCAGTTTCTCCATCCAACTATAAGGGTTTTTGTTTGTTTGTCTGTTTTGAGACAAGGTCTCACTCTGTTGTCCCAGCTGGAGTGAAGTGGTGCAATCATGGCTCACTGCAGCCTTGGCTTCCCAGGCTCAAGCGATCCTCCCACCTCAGCCTCTGAAGTACCTAAGACTACAGACATACCCCACTACATGTGGCTTTTTTTTTTTTTTTTTTTTGAGATGGAGTTTCACTCTTGTTGCCCAGGCTGGAGTGCAATGGCACAATCTTGGCTCACTCCAACTTCCACCTCCCGAGTTCAAGTAATTCTCCTGCCTCAGCCTCCCAAGTAGCTGGGATTACAGGCATGTACAACCATGCCTTGCTAATTTTTGCATTTTTAGTAGAGACGGGGTTTCACCAGGTTGGTCAGGCTGGTCTTGAACTCCTAATATCAGGTGATCCATCCTCCTCAGCCTCTCAGAGTTCTGGGATTACAGGCCTGAGCCACCACTCCCAGCCTAATTTTTTATTTTTATTTTTTGTAGAGACAGGGGTCTTGCCACGTTGCCAAGACTGGTCTCAAACTCTGGCCTCAAGCAATCCTCCCACCTCAGCCTCCCAACATGCTGGGATTACAGGTGCACCCAGTCTATAAGGGGTTTTGCCTTCCAGTTCTGACTTTTGAGGAGGTCATTGGAAACAGACCCCTGGGCCTGCTTCCCCCCTGAGCCCCACTGCCCATATGGACACTACAGACACTGACCCTTTGCCCAGAAAGGTACAACTATGGCCTCTGCCCCCAGGTATTCTCCTGCTCTTGCGAGAGATGATGGGGCCATTTGGCTTGGCTTGGCGGCTGCGGCTCTAGAACTGCCTCTCCCACCCTGAAGCCTGGCACAAGTTTCCAAGAGCTGGTGGTTTCAATTCCTAGAAGCTGCACATACATCCCGGAAGGTCTGACACCCAGCACATGATTCCTTCCACCTTGTAGTTAGACAGAAGTTCTTTTTTGTTTTGTTTTGTTTTTTTGTTTGTTTGTTTTTGAGATGGAGTCTTGCTCTGTCTCCCAGACTGCAGTGCAGTGGCATGATCTCAGCTCACTACAACCTCCGCCTCCCAGGTTCAAGCGATCCTCCTGCCTCAGCCTCCCAAGTCGCTGGGATTACAGGCACAGG
Organism: Homo sapiens; assembly: GCF_000001405.40. Lineage (NCBI taxonomy): Eukaryota > Metazoa > Chordata > Mammalia > Primates > Hominidae > Homo > Homo sapiens. The sequence goes on along the minus strand of NC_000002.12, from coordinate 91,778,551 downwards.
CCAGCACGCCAGGCTAATTTTTGTATTTTTAGTACAGATGGGGTTTTGCCATGTTGGCCAGGCTGGTTTCAAACTCCTGACCTCAGGTCATCCACCCGCCTCAGCCTTCCAAGGTGCTGGGATGACAGGCATGAGCCACCGTGCCCAGCCAAGACAGGAGAAGTTCTAATCTTTGATAGCAGACCAGGGTGACGATGCTTAGCAACAGTATTTTGTATATTTCAAAGTAATGAAGAGAGGACTATGGTGCTAACACCCAGAAATGAAAAATATTCAAGGTGACGGAGACTCCAAATACCCTGCTTTGATCATTATACACTCTATGCATGTAACAAGCACTCACATGTACCCATAAATATAGAAAATATCATGTATCAATATCAGAAAAAAAATCTTCTCCTGACCTCAGGCCAATCAGACTCTCATGCCACCACACTTGCCAAGTTCTCTGGTGACCCCCACACTGCCAGACCCAGTGCCCCTCTCAGCTTTACTGGGCTCATCACTCTCCCTGAGAGCCTCCCCTGCATCCCATCACCTGTCTCCACCCGAGTATCCCCCGCCTGCCATCCTAGCTCCTACTCTCCCCTCTGTCTTTGCTCTCTCTCCTGGTGGTCTGCTTGACATCTGAGCTTCAGCCTCCATTTATGCACTGACAACTCCCAAATTGACCTGCTGGCCTGGACTGCTCCTCTGATAACCAGACCTGAGTATCTACCTGCCTGCTCGAAGAAAGCATCTCAAACTTCAACGTGCCCAAAACCGAGCTCCTGAGTGTCTGCTCAACCTGCTTCCTGAGAACCCTGCCTGTCTCCATTAGGGTCACCCCATCCTTCCAGGTACAGACAAAAGATCGGGGTCCCCGGGGACTCCCTACACAAGCATCACACCCAACCCATCCTCAAATCCACAGGCTCCACTTCCAAGTGTGTCTGTCCAGCATCAGCCACTTCCCAGCACCCTCTCCACGAATTACTGCAGTGACCTCCGGACAGGTCCCCACATGCTCCCTGCCCCTTACACAGCAATCCAAGGGGTTCATAGGCCAGATCCATCCCCTTCCACTCACACACTCCACGAGCCCCCACTTCCCTCAGACAGGAAGCAGAGGCTTCACCATAACCTAAGTGATCCCACACAACCTGGGCCATTTCCCTTGGGTCACTTGCTGCAGCCTCCCCAGCTCCCCACAGGGCTCTGTCCCTGCCATCACACCTGGATAGCAGACCAGGAGATAACTCCCCTGACCCCATCTCTGCCTCTGGGTCTTTGCTCAGATGTCCCCTTCCCTGACTAGGTCACCCTCCATAGAGTCCCAGATTTTGAGGCCCTCCAGGTCTGTTTTTCTACAGCCCGTAACACACCCGCACCTGCCTAGGTTCTTTTCCCACCTGGAGTGTCACAGATTTCATCTGCCATCTTTGTTTTTCACCCCAGCTTCAGGAACAACAGCTGATTCTTTAAGACAATGCTCAATACATTCTAGTTAAATAAATGATTCTAAGCATCCACAAGGTGCCAAGCCTATGATTCCCGCATTCTCTTACCCTGAGCAACTTCATGTCTACAGATGCTGAGTTTCTCAATGAGTATTAAAAACAAATGAAAGATTGGTGGGGCACAGTGGCTCACGCCTGTAATCCCAGCACTTTGAGAGGCAGAGGTGGGAGGATCACAAGGTCAGGAGTTCAAGACCAGCCTGGCCAACATAGCAAAACCCTGTCTCTACTAAAAATACAAAAATTAGCTGGGCATGGTGGCACATGCCTGTAGTCTCAGCTACTGTGGAGGCTGAGGCAGGAGAATCACTTGAACCTGGGAGGGGGAGGCTGCAGTAAGCCAAGATTGCACCACTGCCCTCCAGCCTGGGTAACAGAGCGATACTCTGTCTCGGAAACACACACACACACACACACACACACACACACACACACACACACACACACATTTGTTGGGCGTGGTGGCACACGCCTGTAATCCCAGCTACATGGGAGGCTTAGGCATGAGAATCGCTTGAACTTGGGAGGCGGAGGTTGCAGTTAACTGAGATTGCACCACTGCACTCCAGCCTGGCAACAGAGCAAAACTCCATCTCTAGATAGATAGATAGATAGATAGATAGATAGATAGATAGATAGATAGATAGATAGATAGATAGATATAGATAGATAGAAAGAAAGAAATAAGTAAAAATAGCAACCAAACAACAAAACAGTGGAGTTTATCCAAAGAGACAGAGACTCTTAGAACTGAGAAAAGGGGCCCTGTTTGGCTCTAGAGACCCACACCCTGCTCTCGGAGTCACCGTCCCCTTCCCAAAGGCTACTTAGAGAGTCCAAGCAAAGCTTACATGTGGGAAAACTGAGTCTCAGAGGGGTGAAGGTATTGCTCAGGTCCACTTGCCCAGTTTTCAGGGCCCATGTCCCATGCCCTGCCCCGCTCACCTCCCAATCTCCGAGCACTGCTTGGCATCTGCAGCCACGGCAGCCCTGGTGTACACATGGTTGTCAGGTTCCTTGGAGGCTGAGGGCAGTCAGAGACAGAGGCCGACAATGACCAGCACCAGGACCACGGCCAGCAGGCCCAGCACCACTAACTTCTTCTTCATGGCTCTGCTGCTCCCATGGGGTAAGGAGCAGGGTCAGGCCCAGCCTCAGACATTCCCTGGCACCTCCCCAGCAGGGCACAGTCTAAAGTTGGGCCTCAGAAACACAAGGCCTGTGTCTCCTTCCCGCTTCCCAGAACACGTGCAGGCTGTCCGGCCCCCAGACCTTTGTGCAGGCCATGCCCTCTGCCAGAAGCTCTGGGCCTCATCTCTGCCCTCCCAAATCCTCCCTGCTTATCTTCAGAGCCCATCCTGGTAAGAACCCCATCTCCAGCAGCGGCCCTTCCTGGGAGCCCCCAGATTTCCACACCCCTCTTTCTGCAGGGCCTTGCCTACCTCCTCACAGTGGCTGAGCCTCCACTGCTTAGGGAGAAGCTCCAGTAGGGATGGGCCTGGCCTGGTTTCTCCTGTGTCCCCCACCTCAGCCTAGAGCCTGGCACTGTCCAGGAGTCCTCTGAAGGCCCTCCACCCCACCTGGAGCATGGGGTTTAGCTTCCATAGTGCCCACAATCAGAGCACCCCACAGATTCACTGCCACGGGGCCAGGACTTACTGTCCAGCAGCAGACGGGGGCCCCAAGCCTTGCCTGGGGTGTTGGTCACGAAAGACAGGAGGATTTGGTGGAAACACCTGAGGAAACAACTGGGGTCTCCCTCACACTCTGCTGAAGCCTGTAGCCACAGAATCTTCTTCAGAGACTCTGATCAGGCAGCCTTCTCGTTCTCCTGAAGGTCAAGGGAGGTTACCTGAAGCACGCGCAGCCCAGACCTTTCTGGGGGACTCCGTGTTACCTCCCTCTGCCTCTAGCTGGTTTCTCTGTCTCCATTTGAACTCTGGAGGCAAAGAGGCTGTCAGTAACACATTTGTTTCCATGAATTCTCTCAGCATGTCTCCCAGGCACAGCTCAAAGAGGGTTTTGCATGGAGCAGGGCAGGTAGGGGACAGGGCATTCCTGCAGAAGCCCAGGATGTGCATGTGGTAAGCATGGCAAAGGGGGCTCAAGGGGCACTGCCAGCCTGCCCTGCTCTGACGCTGGACTTGCCACTCACCTGCTGTGGGGCCTCAGGCAAATCACTGAACTGTCCAGCCTGGATGACGGCAGCACCTCACTTGCCTTGCTGCTGGGAGTGTTGTGAATAGAGTAGGTTAGACTGTGGGCAGGACTTGGTGAATGGTAGCTGTGATTATCATCATGGCTGCACTGGGGACACCCCCAGGAGGCCTGAGTGGCACAGGTCTCTTGCTCACTCTATGTCCCCTGTGGACTCCCTTCCAGGCTGTGCAGTGAGTGGCAGCAGTGACCCTTGGGAAGTCTCATGGCTATGGCAGCAGGTGACAGGTGTGACAACAGGGAAGAGGGATGTGGTGACAGAGGTTGGGGTTCCCCTCTCCCACAGTCAGTTTCCCACAAAGGGCGGTGTCTGCCAGCAAGCCCCTCCAATGAGCCCCAAGCTGGGTTTCCCTCCACTCCACCCTGTCCCAGTGCAGAGCATCTGACCTCAGAGGTAGACACACTGTCCCAGAGGTAGTCTAGGAATGGAGTCCCTGTGCCCTCCCCACACACAGGGAACATCCAAATGCCATCGTGGAAGGGTGGTCACCTCCCCAGGCTTGGTGGGCCTGGGGCCGATAGTGTGATACATTTGACCCCCTCCCAGCCCTGGATGCAGACACCAAGAGCAGAGAGACCTGGCAGTAGTCATGCAGCGCACCACCCCACATCCCCAGCACAATCCAAAGCAGCCCCTCATCCCCACCGTGACCACCACAGCCTGAATCCAGGCGCCACCTGTTTCTGACCTGAACTCCCTCACAGCCCCTGCCTGCACTCCCTCCCTCCAACATCGCCTGCCCTTCAGTCTTCCAGAAAGCAGCTAGAGGGCTCTGTCTGTCCAACTACAGAACAGGCCCTGCCTCCTCCTTGCCCTGTTGGACAGCTCACACCCTTCACCAGGCCTGACAGCGCTCTTGCCACTCCAACACCCCGGGTCCCAGCCGGGAGTCCGGGTCAGGGTTAAGGGTTCCTGATAGAGACACCGATTCCTGGAGGTCCAAAGAGCCTCAGGAGCTGGGCCAGCAATATGCAGCATCTATTATGGACACAGAACATTCCCATCACATGGCCGGGTACAGTGGCTCACGCCTATAATCCCAGCACTTTGGGAGGTAGAGGCAGGTGGATCACCTGAGGTGAAGAGTTGGAGACCAGCCTGGACAACATGGTGAAACCCCCATCTCCACTAAAAATACAAAAAATTAGCCAGGCATGGTGGCAGGTGCCTGTAATCCCAGCTACTCAGGAGCTGAGGCAGGAGAATTGCTTGAACCCGGGAGGTAGAGGTTGCAGTGAGGCAAGATTGCACCACCGCACTCCAGCCTGGGCAACAAGAGGGAAACTCTGTCTCAAAAAAAAAAGCAAAAAACAAAAACAAAAGGACATTTCCACCACAAGTCATGGGGCAGGGGCCTGGCCTGGTCAGTGACCCTGTCCTAGCATGACAGCCCCCTGCACCAAGGAAGCTACCCAGTCCCGTCCACTGGGCCGGGTCATGCTGAGTGCCCTGGAGGGCATGGCCTCATCTCTCCCAGGCTCAGGGTCATGAGCTGAGCCCCCGTTCAGGGTCCTGGGGTGGTCCAACCATGACCCAGCCTCCCCTGTCTGTTAATCTGTCTACCCAAAGGCCCAAGTAGGCACCTGGAGGAGCAGGGGGCATCCAGCCAGGCTCAGACTGCTGGGAAGAACAGGGAGGGGAGTAGGCAGTGCTGGGCCCTGTCCCTTCCTCCCAGGGCAGGTCAGCAAGGGAGGGTGGGCCCAGCCTCCCACAGGCAGATGTCCCCGGCTCGGAGGAAGACATCCTGCTGAGGTCCTGGGCTTCCATTTCCCATCCCTCCACCCTCAAAACTCACTGAAAGAATGTCCAAGCCCAGAGGCCTGGTTCTCACCCAAACAGTGTGAGAGCTGCACACACTAGGGGAAACTGAGGCTAGAAAGTAGGTCAGCTGCCATGGTTGGCCTCAAATCCAGACCCCCTTCCTTGTGACCCTGATGGGCTTACCTGAGGCCTGGGGACAGTGGGGGCCCAGGAGAGCACCTCTTCCTCAGAAGACAGTTCTGGGCTGCACCCGCTGGGGAGGAAGAAACAGACTTGTCTGCCTGGGAAATTCCCAGCCACAGAACTGGCTGGGCCCCCCCCCCTCCAGAGTGGCTCAGAGCCACGCCTGCGGCCCCCTGCAGCACTCCTCAGGGGGCCTCCGAATTGGGACTGGGATCTAGGGGTGGCCACCTCCGAGGAGGAGCAGAGGCAGGGAAAGAGCAGGAGCGGCCGGAGGACCCATGAGCTTACCTAGTCCAAGAGACCAGCCAGGGGGTGCCCAGCAGCCCTGGTGGACAGTGGGAGGCATCCGCACAGGGTGCAGGACAGGCAGGCCTCTCACAGAGATCCAGCCTGGCTGGGAGGATGGGGAAGCTGACGTCACAGCAGCAAGGAGGCGCACAGTGACTTGGCACGGTGACTCGGCCTGTCACCACATGACTAAAGTTCACGCAGCCCTGGCAGGGCCCTGGATGGCAGATGCTATGAGCTGGGGAAAGGGTTTCCTTCCCTTCAGACTCAGTTCCCTCTAAAGGGCACTGTCTGCCCACAAGCCCCTCCAGTGAGCCCCAGGCTGGGTCCCTCTGGCTCTCCCTGTCCCTGTTCAGAACATCTGAACGCACAGCCAGTGTCCCAGAGATGGCTCTGGAGGCGGTGGAGTAGTGGTGCCCCTGGCACTAGACCAGAACCCAGACTAAGGGGCCTCACCACACGCTGCTGTCAATGCTAAAGGTGTGTTCCGGGAACATGGCCTGGGGCCCTGAGTGCAGACTGGTTCTGCTGCCCATCCAGAAACATTAGCACCCCAGGCCCAAGGAACCACCTGAACAGCCCAGAAAGGCAGGGCCCAGAGAGGGCCTGAGCTGGCCCAAGCTCACAGAGCCCAGCAGTGCAGACTTGGCCACCTGGTAACTGCCCCAAGTTACTGCATGTTTCTGACCAGCCCACCAAGAAGTCTGAGCCAGGAACAGCTGCGGACCCAGCCCAGGGGACTTTGGACAGTGCTGCCCATTCCCCTGTGGCCCTCATCTGCCAACGATATGGGCCAGAGTCTCCCTGAGTCATGGCTCCCTCCCCTGATCCTGGCCTGCTGTGTCTACAGTGCCGGAGAGCCCCTGCAGCCTCCACCTGAGGTCTATTCCGTGCCCATAACACCTACCCCACAATCATCCTTCCAGGCTGCCCCAAGCTGACAGAAGGGGACATGAAGGCTGACCCAATATTGCTGCCTGCCTGGGTCACATAGGCCTGTCCTGTCATCCACTGCTCTCAAATGGGCTCTAGACAGAACCCACCAGACACACGACTGTGAGATCCTCAATAGCCCTAGGGTGGAGGTGCTATGACCAAGTCCTTTCTCAGGCTATTCCTCCCCCTGAAGATCAGGGTGACTGGGAAGATGACAGGGCAGGAACCAAGGCCCCATGACCTGTCCCTGAAGGCTAGACAGCCAACAGGAACATCAGGGGATTTGGCCCTGCTAAGTGGCTGCATTCCATGGCAGTCAGCCGGGAGGGGTCTAAAGTGGAGAGCCACAGGGCTCTGTCCCCTGCCCTGCTCAGCAGTTTCCTCTCTGCCTGAGAGCATATAAGACATGCATGTTCTCACTCATAGGTTGGAATTGAACAATGAGAACACTTGGACACAGGAAGGGGAATATCACACACTGGGGCCTGTCGTGGGGTGAGGGGAGGGGGGAGGGATAGCATTAAGAGATACACCTAATGTAAATGACAAGTTAATGGGTGCAGCACACCAACATGGCACATGTATACATATGTAACAAACCTGTACGTTGTGCACATGTACCCTAGAACTTAAAGTATAATTTTATATATAATACTATATATAATACATTTATATATTATATTATGTAAATTACATAAATATAATAATTATATAATATATTTTATATATATATGTATATGACATACAGGATTCACAGCAGCAGGTGGGCAGGAAGAAAGTCTGAGTGGGTAAAGGATGGCCCAGATCCCTGCAGCTGACCCCAAAAGGAAAACCCTGGGCTGGGGAAAGTAGGGAGGCAGAGCTGCCTTCAATGGGGCACAGCTGAAGCCTGGCAGCAGCTGAGGATTCCAGAGAGGGGAGACAGGAGGGGAGGCACTTTATCAAAGGACATGTTAATAGAGGTAGGGCCTACAGAATGAAGGAGGCTTTTCCTCACATGCTGAGTGTGTCACATTCTGTCCCAGTCAGCCCTCTACCCCCTGAATGCAGAGAGGGCACCTAGGGGGAAGTGGGTCTGGGGAAGCCATGTCACCTGAGGAAAGACTGCAGGGGCTGGCCTAGAAGTCTTCTCCAGACCCCACAGCTCTTGTCCTGGGCACATAAGGTAGTGAGTTCCCTGTCCCGAGAAATGTGCAAGCCTCACTCACCCGGAGACACTGACTCTGGTGTCAATACCACCCACTTCCAACACACGTGCAAGCACGTGCACACACACACAACTGAGCCTCATCTAGGCTGAGCAGAGCAGCTTCCCAGGATGCAGCAGAGAGAGGAGTA